>NC_000014.9:72642016-72793531 GCF_000001405.40 Homo sapiens
AGCCAGCAAAGAACTGAGACTCTCAACGCAGCAGCTCATGAGGACCTGAGGCCTAATGGCAACATGAGAGTGAGCTTGGAAGTGACTCCTTCAGCCCTGATGGAGCTTTGAGATGCCTGCAGCCTTGGCCAACATCTGGACTGCAGCCTCATGGGACACCCTGTGACACACCACCCACCCAAGCCATTCCCAGGTTCCCAACCCTCAGAAGCTATGAGATAATAAATGTTTGCAGTTTTAAGCTGCCAAGTTGGGGGATAATTTGTTACACAGCAATAGCTAACTAATACAATGGCAAAGGAGGAACAGTAAGGGGCCTGGCTGAACACCAGACATTTGACAGAACTCCTGCTTAGGCAGTGTCTGCATTGTGCTCCCAGCCACAGTGAGGCCCAGCACTGGGCTGGACAATGAAGGAGAGGAGCAGGGTTTGGGATTTTAGATCATTTATCTCTTCCATGCTGTTATTATTTTTTTTCAGTGAATCTCCTTTAAAAGAGCTAATAGTGGGAACAAAGATAATTTCAGTGGCAATATGAATGGGTGTGACCCCTCAGCATTTACAGCAAGGTGAGTGCATCTGCCTTCGGTTTCCTGGGTCCAACTTGTTTCCATGGCATGGCCCGAGGAGACTCACTGCACCAAAGAGCCTGCCGTCTTCCCCTCAGGCCTTGCCCTCCATGCCCCTGTCTCACTCTCACCCTGCTCTGCCTTCCTTCCACCTGCCTGAGCCTCTCTCACCTCCAACAAGCCTCCCCTTTAGGTTCCCCAGAACACAACCCCAGTGTTAGAAAGTCAGAGGCTTCCTAGAAGTAAGCCAAACTGATATGAGCAGAGGAAGAACCTGCAGCTAGTATTCTGGCCTAAAGAAAGCCATGTTTGGATACTTTAATGATCCTTATAACTTTTCCAAGGAAGCACCTTTCTATTGACTGATTTTGTTTTGATTCCCCGTGGGGATCCTGTGAGGTGGGCAGAACAGATAGGAACATTCCTGATTTACAAATGAAGAAGTTGAGGCTCAGAATGGCTCAGGCAGCCCGCAAGTAAGTAGTGGAGCCAGGGCTAGTGGAACATCCATGTCTTCACATTCTAATCCTTTGGTCTCTCACTACACCATGTCCTAGGATGGCCAACCCAAAAGTGGCAACCCAATGGCATTTCAGCTCCTTGTTTAAGCTGCTAAATATAGCAACATTTTCTCCTTGCATGCATAAGAAGTTTGCCAGGGCATGATGAAATATGTCACTGACTCTCTCCATGCCTCAGTTTCCTCCATTTGCACCACATAAGGGTGAACTAGCTGTCCCCTCAGGCCCCTTTAAGCCTCAATGCTCCATGCCTCTAGCGAAATCCCTCAAGAAGCCAGACTTGCTTACATGAGGCAGAGGACTGAGTCCTCACCATCTGGCAGTGACTAATCCTGGAAAACCCTGGGGAAGAATTGCTCAGGAGTGAGCCAGTCCAGCCCACACAAAGGGGCCTGGAGGCTGCAGGAAGTAGGTCAGCAGCCTATGGTGGTGTTACTGGGCTTCGGCTCCTGACAGAAGCTCCTCAGCCCCTGGCTGGAGTGAGGAGGGGTCATGCCCCCCGCCACCTCACAGTCCCACTCAGACTTGCCAGGCCAGCTATTCCCACTTGCAGCTGGGTGTCCAGGTCCTCCCTAGGGCTCCCCCAAGTGACCGCCCATCACCAGCTTTCCCTGTGAAGCCTCTGAGAGGAGCACAAAAGACGGCTGGCATCCAAAGCCAATTTCACACCACACCTCCATTACACTGTCAGTCAAGAAAGGACAGAAGTGTTCCCCACTCACCTTGTCTAAGAAAGGAACAAAAGAGCACACAGGAAGGATCCCCTTTTTGTCATCACAAGACTATACTACAATCGAGACACCCACAACCCCACCCCCACTGGAGACCCCAACGAAGCCTCACTGGCTCCTTTCAATCCTTTTCCCCCTTTCATTCTCCACCTCCCGATTTCCCCAAGTCATGAATTCACTTTCCAAGTTGCAGTGGCAGGAGAATGGAAAATGAGGATGATGATGGTGACAACCAGCTTTCCCTGAAGTCTCTCACCCAGGTGTCTTGAGCCCTGGAGACACCTGATGTCCTTCAACACCCTCAAAAAGAAGAAACAGCAATTGCACTGAGCCAACACTGCATACGGGAGAAACATCCTTGGAGCTCCATGGGAGTACAACAAAACCCGGCACCATCTGGCGTCGTATTACCTCTGCATGCATTTGCTTCCAAGCCCCAACATCCAGGCAGCACCGGGTCTGCACTCCTCCTGTATCTGTGATCACTAAACCCAACTGATAGATCTGTTTCCATCGGCCAAATTTTCATCTAAGATTCATCCACTTTTCCTGACAATCAAACAAATATTTATCCAACAAATTCCTGAATGAGAATTGATCTCGCTGCTTACTTAGAAAGCTAGAGGGGATGATTTTTACATGGGCTTTCTTTTTTTCCTCTGGAGAAATTAGAGAGTTGGAATAGTACAAGAGAAAGCAAATCAATGGCTATTTCCAGTGACCAGCATCTGTCTTCAGGTTTAATAGAAATGATGCCCTAAGACATATAGTCTATTTGGCCTATTCAATACAAAAACACCCATCAATATTAAAGTAGTGCAGCAGGAGGGCCTTTCCTGGTACTTTGTAAGGGTAGACAAGAGCCTCACAAGTGTTCAAAGATTCACGAGGCCCTTCTGGATAAGCAGTGACAAACTCCATTCCATAATCAGAGAAATGAAACCATCAACCATCTCTAAAATGGCTCTGGTTCACCTGAGCATTAGGTGTGAGAGAATTAGGAATACATCACCAGAAATCTGACCTCCTTTCAGGGATAGCTAAATATGTGGCACGTATACCACCATTCTATCCCATACCCAGGGCAGACATTACTAATCAATTCAACATTGTCTTCCAATCTGCATGGATAAGACCTTATGATCCTTTTCAGCACAGCACTCCAAGTGGCTGTCACTGGTCTAGAGTTTGCATACAAGAAGAAACCAACTTGCCATCCCTGAGCTAGGCACTATTAAGCTGAATAGGTTAAAAGTTTCATGTGAGAATTAAGGACTCACATCTTAAGCAGGTCACTGGTCAGATATATAACTTCTGTTTTCCTTTCCATGAGGCAGAAACTCTATCACAACAGCTAAGACCCAAACCAAATGGTGGCCATGTTTTGTGGTTGGACTCAAGTATTGCTACGGTCACATACTTCTGTCTTCAAAGCAAACAGAGATGCTAAGAAGGGATTTTTTTTTTTTTTTCAGAGATAGGGTTTCACTCTGTCACCCAGGCTAGACTAGAGTGCAGTGGTGCAATCTTGGTTCACTGCACCTGCCGCCTCCTTGGCTCAAGCAATCCTTCCTCCTCAGCATCCACGTCCCCCTACCTGCCTCCCCCAGTAGCTGGGACTACAGGTATGTGCCACCATGCCTGGCTAATTTTTAAATTTTATATAGAGATGGGGTCTCCCTATGCTGCCCAAGCTGGTAAGAAGGGATTTTTTAATGATGGCTAATATTTTTTCTACTCCACCAGCTAGAAGGCATCAACCCATTCCTCCTTAAGTAATTCCTCTGTCTTTCATTGCCTGCAGCATGAAGTAAGCTTCTTAGCATTGCAAGCCTCTTTGCTGTCTGGCCACAGCTGCCTTTTTAAGATTTCTCTTCTTTTCCCACCATGGACCCCAACCCCACCATACCACAGAAAAGTATTTGCCACATCCCACACCCTCAACGCTCCTACACCCCCCACCCCCCAAAAAACCACTCTTCTTTTTGACTTGCACTTTTGCACACAAAGGTCTCTCACTATCTCTCAACTCCCATTCATGGCCAAACCTGTCAAACAGGTTGTCTACACTCCGGCTACACAAAAGTGGGCCCATCGACCACTTGCATGAGCATCCCCTGGGGGCTGGTTAGAAATGCTCACCCCGGATCTGACCTAGGGACTGCAGTTTTAACAAGATCCCCAGGTGATTCGCATGCACAGGGTATTTTGAGATGCACTTCTCTAAACTCACTCCCTTTCTGGGACACCCACTCAGTCTTCACTCTCTCCACACTGACTTCCCTCCTCTCTTTTCCACCAAAAAAACTCTCATCAAAGGAGTGAATGTGTCCATGCAGATATGAATAAAAGAATAATAAACTACTACTTCCACCTTTTGCCTGTCCTGGGAACTTCTATTCATCCTCCAAGTCCAGTCCAAAAGACCTCACTTCTGTGATGCCTTCTCTACCCTCTAACGCAGATAAGGAAACCAAAGTCCTGGGAGGATGGGATATCTGCTTACAGCTCTGCAGCCACTAAGTGGAGTCCACCTGACTCCAAGCCCATGAGTGCCCTCAGCATCGCCAGTGCACTGCCTTTACGAAGTGCATCCAGAAAGATGCCCACAACCTCAGATAAAAGCCCTTTGGCCACTGTCAGGGACAGGACTCCAAGGCTGGAACCAGTAAAACAAGTCTGACTTTGCTGGTGGATGAGACCCCATGGAGGCTGCTCATAAATCAGATTCCCTTGTTTAAGTTCTTAGCCCCTGATGACTACTGCTTACCCAGGCCTCTCAATCTCCCTGAAGACCTTTCTCCATCCCCTTCCTTCAAACACACATCCCAGGCACCCATCTCTTTTGCCCTCCTTGCCTCCATGCGGAATTTTTCCTTTGGAGAACAAGGACCTCAGAGTGGAAATGTCCATCACTGGTCTTCTCATTTCTCCAAGCCACAGCAATGCCATTTTGGCGACCCGGCTGCTCTCAAACTTCAGAGTTCAGAAGAATTACCGGGAGAGATGTTTTAAACATGCAGATTCTCAGGCCCCAAAGCTTCTAATTCCCCTGCCCTGGAGTGGGTAGGAATCTGCCTGTTTAGCTAGTGCCCTGAGGGGGCTCAGATGCAGATGGCCCTGGACACACTTGGAGACCCTCTGCTGCCAGCGTCTCCTGGGGACTCTTGCACATCAGCAAGCTGCTCTATAATGCAGCGTGTGGAACCTCAGCCAAGTCTTCCCACCACTCTCATCCTGAGTCAGCCTTGCTCAATGAGGGCTCGAAAGCCTTTCCTGCCCACCTCATCCTTCTTCTATTATGAGGATCAAGACCATGGGCTATGTACTACTGCTTTGTTAAGCTGGAAAACTTTAAAAGAACAAAAGGCCAAGGTTTACCACTCTTCTGCTTTGTTTTGGCACCACTAAACCTCTACGCCCATTCCCAGAAATTCTGTATTTCTTTCAACCCCATAGCCCATTGTCGACATACCCGTAAGTGTTTCAGACAGGCCTGTGATTGTTGCATGCAAAGGACATCAATCCATACTGGCCTGTATCCAGGCACAAGCTGTCTTCCCGATAGCAATTCTCCTTGCCAGAGACCTGTGGGTCTCCTGCATAAACAGGAGGTCTTAGCTTCTCTCAGCAACTTGAGACAGGCACCATATACTCTCTCCCCAAGATAAGATCTTTTAGAAGACAAAGCATTTAGATTATTTCCTTTGTAGGATTAAAAACAAACACAAATGCCCATTCCAGTATTTGTAGGACTGATTCAACTGGAGTAGTAGGAAAGATTTAGGATACATTTAAGACACGGTTTCCATTGTTTCACTATGAAGCTTTGAGTATCTTTGCAACCTAATTAGATTGCACCTATTAAATGATGACTGGATTCAACAGCCCTAGAACAAGCATTACTTTTGATCATTTTCTATTTTAGCGTCTATTCAACTATTTTAAGAGGAATATACCTGAGCCAAAAATCACGAGGAGGTGGCTAGCAGTAGCAAGATTGGTCCTAATTTATTGAGGGCAGTGAGGCAGACACCATCAATTCTTTAATCTCGCCAGGAGCTCCAGTCCACGGACAGTACCACTTCTCACCATATCTCCTCTCACGTCGTCACTGCTCATGCACCTATCTTAGATTCCACATCCAGCCTTGCACGTGTCTGCCTACCCCTCTACCCCTTTTTCCTACTTACTCAACTTCCAGTTAATACCAACTCTTCACCTACTCTTGGCCTATACCAAGCACAGAAAAATACACCACTGTGCTGAGCAGTCGTGGTTTCAGTGGTGACCACAGATCTTGTCATTGTCCCCGTATTTCACTAGTCGAATTATTCTCCCATCTCTCTCTGTCTTTTCAAATCTCCCATATCTTATACCCCATCCTCACACTCTCCTTATTTAGTTGAAAAATACATAAACAATCAGAATAAAACTATTGCGCCAGGCGTGGAGGCTCACGCCTCTAATCCCAGCATTTTGAGAGGTCGAGGCAGGCAGATCACTTGAGGTCAGGAGTTCGAGACCAGCTTGGCCAACATGGTGAAACCCCATCTCCACTAAAAATACAAAATTAGCCAGGTGTGGTTGTGCATGCCTGTAATCCCAGCTACTCGGGAGGCTGAGGTGGGAGGATTGCTTGAAACCAGGAGGCAGAGGTTGCAGTGAGCTGAGATCATGCCACTGCACACTCCAGCCTGGGTGACAGAGTGAGACTCTGTCTCAAAAAAGAAAAAAAAAAAAAAAAAAGAATAAAACGATCGCATCTTCTCCATGCCACACCCACCCAGCTCCCCGCCTCTGTATCCCTACGCTTGTCTCCCTCCTATTACCGGGAATGAACGGTCTCAGCTCCTAACCCAAAGCCGACTGGCACCAGGATCCCTACCTCTCACCCTGAGAATTTTGCTCCTGCTGTTATTCCCTCTTGCATCGTCAATGTCTCTCTCTCTCTCTAGTAGACCATTCAGCCAGCATACAAACAAGCCATAAAAGCTCCCATCTTCCAAAGAGATCCTTCCTGACCAAGCATCCCCCTCTGTTGAGCGTCCAATTTCTCTGCTCCTTCTTCTTTTAGCACAACTGGAAAGGGCCAGTTCTCTCCATGCCCCTCCTTTCCACACTCTCCCCTCTCCACACACTCGCCTAGCTCTCCTCCCACCTCGCTGGCTGCCCCTTCTTGGTCTTCTTTGCTGAATCCTCCTCTTCTCCCTTTCTCCCAGTTCTTCCTTTTATGTGGACTCACTTCCCCTCAATGTCTTCTATACACTTGTTATTCCCAATTTATATCTCCAGCATGAACCTCTTTCTGAATTCCAGACTCATATATCCACTTGTCATGGTGGTTGGGAACCCGAAGAATAGAAAGTTAAAAAGACCTAAGTTAGGAAAGGATTTTGTGGGAAAATCCTCATCCCAAGGGGTGATGAGTACCCTGCCAGCCAGGAGGGGAGCCTTCAGCTGGGGGGCTGTGGAGTCTTTATGGAGGCAGGAGGTGGAACTCACAGCAAGCAGAAAATTAGTTGAATGGCACCAGCTTTAGGAACTGCCAGGATGCACTTTGGATCATGAATAAGTAAAGAAAAGAGGTCATCACAGGTTCCAGAAGAGTGAGGACAGAGAGAAGCAACAAAGTGAGAAGAGGAAGAAGGAAGGAGACAAAGAAGACAGGATACAGAGAAGAAGGGGGCTGGAAGGAGTGGGTGAAAGAATAAGAACTCAGAAAAGAGATTTTGGTTCTTGCTTATTCAGGAGCTTAACCAGAATTCTGTCTAAACTCTTTAAAAGATGCAGAAACTCAATTGTCTCACTCATCCCTGGGTGGGGGGGGGGATTAATGTATTAGTACTATTGCTACAACTTTATGAGGCGCTTCCTATGTGCTAGGCACTTTGAACACACTTCCTTATTTACCTCTTAAAACAATCTGTGACTCAGGTATTATTGTCTCCATTTTATAGACAAAGAAGCTGAAGCTCAGAACAGCTAAGTAATTTACTCAAGACAACCCAGCCAACTGCTGGCAGAGACAGGATGAAAACACGTATCTTATTCCAACCAACATCCATGCAAGTAACCACTACACCGCTCGGCCACAGGAAACAAGCACTGGGAAAGACCCTTCCCCTGACACAGGAGGCCGAGCGGCTGATGAGCAAACTCCAGAGAGCACTGGGCTCTGACCATCCGGTGGCCTCCCCTGCCAGAGGGCTGGGGCAATAGACACATCCCCACCTGTGCTAAAGTCCTGCTTTCCTCTCCACAACCCTCCCGCCCCATCCACACTCCACACTGCCCTTGAGGGAAAAATGAGGACCCAGAGGATGGCCTGGGGATGAGGGGGGACTGCTCATTAGCTACCCAGCCGTGGTAGCTAATCTAAGATCCGGGAATAAAGGCCCTCCCTGAATGACCCCAGGGCAAAACCAGGTCAAGGCCACTTCCAAACCCCGCCCCGACAGAGTTAAAGGCGAGGATCTAGAAAGGCTGAAAACACAAAGAAGTTAATCAGCTCCCTGAAATGAAAGGGGAGAAAAGAGACTGGATAAAGGGATCAGCTGAAGGAAGCAGCCTGGCTTGGGAGAGAACACTCCACTCAGCCACGAGTCCACAGACTCAGGCCAGCACTGCCCCGGGGGCCAGGAGATCTTGGCGATGGCTCTCTGCTGTCTGTTTCCTTCTCTGTTAGACAAGCTCTAGGGTCTTTGCACCTGACAGCTGAGGATAGGGCAGCACCTGTGGCCAACACAGCCTCATCTGGAGTGGGTCCAGCCAATGCTGTGACCAGCGGCTCTCTGTAGGTGCACACCCCATAGGTACCCTGGATCCACACAGATGCCCCCTCTAATTCCATGCTGCCTCTCCATCTGCCTCTTCAAGGTAAAAGGTGGATGGAGCTAGGGGGTCAGAAGGAGTCACAGGGATGGGTGAGCTAAGAGGACAAAGGAGGCGTCTCCCTCCAAGACAGGATCAGCGTGTGTGGGTGGGAGGTATACAAAACGCCATCTCTCCTCCACAGACACCCGGGAACACTGCCTGAAACTTCCACCACTGATGTCGCTCCAGTGGCTTAAAAACCACCCTTCCAAAAATCCCCAGTTAAAATGCAAACAACTTTCTTAAAGAGGATAGCACTATCATGGGTTCCTCACTTGATCAACTCAGACACTGTCAGAACCAGAGTGAATCTTGGAGACCACCAAGTCCAACCCCTTCTTTAGACACAGAAGGAAACCAAGCCTCTAAGAGGTAAAGTGACTTGCTCAGGGTACAGGAAGAGGTGGCGCAGAGCTAGAACTGTAACCAGGTCTCCTAAGTCTTTCTGCAGCATGGCCCTGGCCCCTGAGGGAGGTGGCCCAGGATGGGGGCGGGCAGGGGGTCTGGAATCTTGGCATCGTGCTCCGGGGCTGCTCCTTCTTCCTGTTCAGCCACCACAGCAAACAAGAGCCCCTGGGGCCTCAGCCAGCGACTGACCCCTCCCTGACCCTGCCTTCCGGAAGGATGAATGCACATCAGAAGCCAGGGCCAAAATATTCCTGGGCACTGTCTGCTGTGCACCCAGCTCTCTTTTTCCCAGCCTCTTAGGAGGGAGAAGTTTCCAAAAGGGACAGCTCCAAAGGCTTTCACAGAAGGGGAGCCTCTCTAAGAAGTGCTCCTGTGTTTGGGCAATGGAGGCAAGTCAGGAAGACAGGGGGATGGAAGAAGAAAGTAATTTTTTGAATGTCACATTTTCACCAAAATGGCATCTGGGAACTTTCAAGATCATCTGACTAATACCAGGTTGTATTCGTTATTTGCAAAGATGGAGGTGGAATCTCCTTTGAAGTAGTACAACCAAATGATGTCTGTAGCCTTAAAATGGGGTAACAAGAGGCAAAGAAATCTGGGGAGAGGAAACGTGTCCTGCCAGGGGCTGAGGGTCTTTTTTGCTCTCCTCCTGACAGTCTCACAGCCAGCCACGTCGTGGTAGGGTCCCACAGAGCTGCCCAGCATGGGGCAGGCTGGCCAGAGCAGCTGGCTCTTTGCAACCACCCAGATTGCCTTTGCTGGGAAGCTCAGGCTCATTTGCACACTGGCATAACTCCACGTCACTGACCAGCCCATGGGCAACAGGACTCACAGCCAGGATGGGTTCTCCCTGGGGCTGGCACGACTCTGTCACTGCACATGTGCATTTTCCTGATCCTGGGCAAGTTACTGAAACTTTCTCAACCCCAGTTCTCCAGCTATAAAATAGGAACACCCCCTACATCACAGGATTGTCACATAAGGGAAAATGAGGCTAGAGAACCTGGGGTAACGTGGAATTGACTCTCAGTGAGCCTGGTTCCCTTTCTCTCGCAATAAAAGCCGGCACCACCTGCTCCAAAGGTAAAGCCTATGGGGAAAGTCTTTCCCAGTGAGCCCTGAACAAGACAGAGGGCCCTTCCCCACAAAGCTTCCCAGGCTTGGAGAGGCGGGTGGTCCCCATGACTCATTGGTGGTGGTGGGCTGACTCATTTGGCCAACTGTCCTTAATTTCCCTCCTCCCATTTTGGGAGTCCTGGAGCATTCGTTCCCCAAATGAGGCTTGCAGCCAGAATGAGCTGTGATTAGCACAGCAGAGACCAGAAGGATGGTGCTGGGGGGAGGCGGGGTAAGCTGCAGAGAGTTTCCTGAAATTAAGGCAGGAGAAGCAGGGAGGCAAGGTCTTTCTCCCTGGGCCATTTAGCAGACAGAGACTTCCTTTAGAGCCAACCTTCTCAACCTCTGCTGGGCAAAATCAACTCAGAGGACTGCCTGCAATAGCCCTAATATGGCCCTCAGAGGCAGACCTGGGGTGTTTATCACAGAGCACACCATGAAATTTCAAACCACTATGTAGGTAACATAGGTGGGTGCATAAAACAGAACATTGCCCCATTGCACTGAATGCACAATGAACAGTGGGCCCCAGAATGCGGGCTGTACCAGATCTACATAAATATTACAATCTGAAGGCAGATGAACAAGAGGGAGTTTGCAAGGGTTGGGTGAGACCACGCTGTACAAGGCCCAGGTGCTGTATAGATGATGCAGAGGTGGGTAGGGTGGGAAGAGAGGTCAATGTGAAGGCTCACATCCAATTGTTTTTCCTTTCCTCAGGAGGAGGATGGATATTCTTCTGTTGTGGGTTTCAATTCCATGCTGTCAAATAACCTCTTTAGTCCAATGCTCTGCCACTTTCAGCCAGGCATAAGCAAGACAATTGTCACTGAACATTATTGGGAGTAACATGCAATGGCACATGCACTAATGCGAACATCAGAAGGAAGACCCGGAGTCTAGTCTAGCCCTATCACTTCTGCACAGCTTTGGCCTGAGTCACTTAACCCTTCCGAGTGCTGGTCTACTCATCTGCTAAGTGGGACAATCACTTCTGACAAGGCTGCTAGGAAGATTACATTGAGAGTGCACTGGTGATTATTCAGCATGTCAGGGAGGGCCTACCACTCCGGGCCTCCACGGAGTGGATGGCTAAGATCCCCTGACTCCCAGTGCACACTCCTCACACATGGCTGCACCTCTTTCGGCCTCAGGGGCCAGCGAGGAGCCTACCGACAAGGTGAGGTGAAGAGCGAAGAGAATCAGTGATGGAAATGGAAGCCAGCAGTCAGGGCTTGCAAGCTCAGCCCTTCTCAGGTCCTCCAAGAAGTAAATCAGCTGAGGGTCAGACCCCAAGGAGCTTCACGGCCAGCAACTCAGCCTGGTTTCCTCTCTTTTCCTCGCATCACATTCAGTGACCTATCAGTCTAGATAGAGGGTGCTTTTTCAAATAAACCCTTTTCCAACTTGTCTAGGAGAACAATCATAGATTTTGATCCCAAAGTTAAATTGGCCTGTCAGATACAAAGCTTTCTGGAGCCAGCCAGCATCTCAGGATATCCCACACTCCTCCCAAATGCATTACCACCCAGCAGGTAGTGTCATCGCAGTTTCTCTGGTTTCAGAATAATAACTGGTGGGAAATGCCCATGGAATTGACACTCAGCACTTTGAAGATTTTATCAGTTGGGTAAATATCACCCAGAAGACAGGAGAAACTGGGGTTCTGTTACGACATCTACAACTAGAAGGAGTGCTGATCACTTCTTTTCCCCATAAGGTCTAGGATCCTATAACCACGACAGGATCAGAGGCAACCTGGTGGTGAAAGGTAGACAAACCCAAACTCCTTACATGCCCAGTTCAGCTGTCCTCACAATCATCCTACACATCACATGCATCCTGCTCAAGAGCTCGTGGCCAGCCTCCTCCTTCCTACAGTGCCCTAATGCCCTAGTGAATCAAGCCCCACCACAGTGTGGACGCTCGTAACATACCTGTGACTCCCCCCAGCAGCCTGGGATCTTCCTTCCACTCCATTCACGCTCATCTCTGCTCGGGCTCCAAGCCTCCTGGGCCCATTCACACCTCTGAGCCTTTGCTCAGGTATTTCCCACTCTTGCTCTCAGTGGTCTGCCTTCTATTTGTCTACCCCAACTCTATGCCTCTTTCTATACTTCCCCCGCTACTCCAACCTGCACTGGTCCCTTTCCTGAGCCTAACTGGCACTCACATTTTGCACCAAGTTGGCACTTAATTTTAAATGGTCTTGTCTTGAATAATATGCTAACCACCTCTTTCACCTCCTCCAGAACAGAAAAGGTGCCTTACACAGTGGAGAAGCCTTTAGAGCCAGAAAAATCCTTGATTGGAAAAATCAGACTTTACCAGCAATCACCACTGCCTTTGTCAACTCAATCTCTCTGAGCCTCAGTTTCCATCTCTGTAAAATACGAATTGTAATCTTAATCTCAAAGGGCTGTTATATGGCTTTAACAAGTTAATATCTATAAAAAGCCTAGACTCAGTAACTAATGCATAGAAAGTAACCCCCAAAAGGTTATTCCAGTTCCCCTTTGTTTCTTTTATGTCTTGCAGAACCTAGCACATTATGGCAACACAAGACATTTGGTATATGTTTGATTCATTTATAAGTAGTATAAAGAAAACCAGTAACTGGAGGGTCATTATACAAAGTAGCAGCATGCGGTCAAAACACATGGATCTATTTTTCAATTACGGACAAAAAGTTGAGATCTATGGAGGGTAAAACAGTCTACTTTAACTAAAGAAGTTTTCAGGATTACAAACTGCCAGTCTCTCTGTACTCATCACTCAGCCAAGCAGAAGTTTCAGCACAAATGTTCATGCTGGCAATTCATACTACATTCTTTCTTACATAAGTTGTCTCCATCCCCAAACTCCATAATATGTATGGTCCACAGAAAGTTCACTTCACGTGCTAAATGTGGTACAATCCTTGCTACTTCTTTAAATCAAACACAGAGCAAAATTTTTCTGGAGTTCTTTTTAAAATTATTTAGAAAGAATGCCGATCACTTCTTTTCTGAAGCAGAATTTTTGTCATTTATCTATATATGTAACATATATAAATATAATTGTATATATAATTAAATTCGTCTTCTAATAAGACCTTTCCTCCCCAGATTGGAGACAACATAGTAGACAACCATGAATATTAGTGAGGTCATTCAACCAAAATCATGCTGAGAATAATATCCAAGTCCTGTGAGCAATTATGAAATCCATGCACCAAAGATGATGTTGGATGTGGTGGTGTCCAGTGAGATGAAAACTGGAGTGGAATTCAGATGGAGTTTCAGCAGAACCATTTTCACCTGGTGGCCTTTTGGCCTTACTGTTCTTACAGTTTCTTCTCACTGTCTCTTTTTCACATACTTGGCATTTCTCTGGAGGAAAATGTGTCTTGCCACTGCATTCACTTTTCAGCTCGTGGCTCATGCTACCAAAACAATGGAAGTCAACAAAAGGCTTGAGACATTGCTTCAGTGTGAATATAAACAAGCCTAGAAATGTAATTTTAGTTAGTGATCAGAATACATATCCGTGAAACTAATCTTCTCCACGTCTCCCCACTTCCTGGTGGTGAGTTAGGCACCAACTCTTCCAGGTCATCTAGCTATAATGTAAAACATTACAGAACTAAATGGGGACCCCAAGAGGTCATCTAACCCATGCCCCCAACTCTATGCAAGAGAAATGCTTGGCTATCAGTGAGTTCCGCATCAGCCTCGACAGTCTAAAATGCTTGGTGTCAAAAGAACTGCTTGTCTATTTGTTTTAGGCACCAAGGTGTTTCTCCTGTGCTCCCTGGAGACCAAATGTAACTGGTCAGTGCCTTTATCTCAGTGATACACATAACAACAGCTATTAAGTGACCCCTAATTCTTTTCCCCAAGTTAAACAACCCCAAATCCACAAACCTTTCCTTAAAGGGCTTATTGTTCATCCTGTTAAACATATTGTTAATAAGCTTTTCTGTACTTTTTGGATTTCCCACAGTCTTTTTCCGCTAATTCAAACACAGTGGTGTCAAATATTAAATAGAGCTGAAGCATTGCTTCCCAGACCTTCCACATCATTCCTAGTTTAACGCAGCTTGGTTATCATGCTTTCTTAAAAATAAACAACACAATACTCCTCCAGCTTGTGATCCACTACGACTTCCAGATCTATCTCAGCTATAATTGTGCCTTGCCAGGTGATGGCCAATAATACAATCAACATAATCCAGTCAAGCAGATTGATGCTAAACCATTGATGACCACTGTCATCACCTCTCAAAAAAGTATTTCCTAGTCTGGTGTAAAGAAAGATCAGGTAACCAAACGATGTGTGTCGTTCACACAATGTTTAATAAAATACAAAGCATAGCATTTTCTAACTTTTAGTTTGAAGACTCTTTCTCCTCCTGGTCTATGCCTGAAAACTAACTTCTGGGTGACTTCATATGTGATCACAGGGTAGAACTTGGAGAAAATGAAACAGATATTTAACCTGCTTATCCCAAACACTGCCCCTTTTCAGGAAACTTGGAGGTAACTGGGGTAACTTAGCAATAAACCCCGCTGAAAGTTATCCTGAGGTCTGAAAGTCACTGATCCTCTCAGCACAATGGAGTATCCACTAACAATGGCTAAAGAGCATCTCTTCAATAAACTTAGCTTGACTACTACCACCTATCATGACTAGCTCATCGACCACCCTTCAGGATCATTTCATGTGCAACTAGTAAGAAGGTTTCAATTCAGTAGTAGGTCTGGCATCAGTAATCTTCTCCACCATCCAAGGAAGAACATGTTATCTTACTGGTTGTTTTGGGAGGTGAAGTAAGAAGTTGGGAAAGTGTGATTCTGAATATGAAGAATCTGAGTACTTAGGAAGAAATATATCTCAGCAACATCCTCAACATTCCATAATTAACCACTTTAAGGAGCCACAGCCATTAAAGAATCTGTGCTGACCCCAAAGAGACCATTTCTCTAATGGCAACAACTCCACATCTCCCAAGTTGGGCCCCACTCATTGTCTCCTATCATTTGTCTCATACAGATGAAACTCTACCATCTATGTTCACTTAACTCATAAGACCCAAGTTGCTAGAGATGAATAATATTAGTCATGATGTCCACAATGGAGAGTCGCTGTTATGCATTGCTGGATTATTCATAGACACTTCTGGTAAACATGGCACTACTGCAGTTTGGACTCTGTACCAAAACTAGAAAAACTAGTAAACAGCTTTCCAAAATCTTGTGGTGAGATTTTTCTGGCTGTGAAACATTTGTTGCATTTGGCCATGAAATAGTTTACAGTACTGATCATGAAATGCATCAGTAGCCTTTCACCTGGTAATGTGAAATTCTCTTTCCATAGTCCTGAAGCTTAGAAAATGCCCTATTACCACCACCACCACCACCCCCAACTGAGCAGTGCAATACTCTCATTTCTAAATTAGGGATCAGCAAACTATGTCTTGTGGGCCAAATCTGGCCAACTGCTTATTTTTGTAAATAAAGTTTTATTGGAACACAGCCATGCCCATTCCTGTACATATCCTCTACAGCTGTTTTCATGCTTCACCCAGAGCTGAGTAGTTGTGACAGATGTTTGCCTTACAAAGCCTTAAATATTTACTATCTGGTGTGTTACAGGAGAAATTTGCTGATCCCCATTATAAATGATAAGGCAAAAAAATTTCTTATTCAGAATAACCTCCTCTCCAACCCAACAAAAGAAAACAAAACCAGAAAACAACCATGACCCCAGCGAGTAGTGTTCGCATACTTAAAAGCCAGCCTAACTCTCTTACAAAGTATACTCTGAAATAAGATGCATACAAAACATAAAATACTATTTGATGGCACAGTAGGGTGACTGTAGTCAGTGGTAGCTTAACTGAATATTTTAAAATAATGTAAAGAGTGTAATCAGATTGTTCATAACTCAAGGGATAAATGCTTAAGGGGCCGGATACCCCATTCTTTATGAGTGCTTATGTTCACATTGCATGCCTGTATCGAAACATCTCATGTACCCCATAAATATCTACATCTACTATGTATCCACAAAAAATTTAAAAAATTTGTAAAAGTCTATATATAAAATACTTACAAGGTTAATTTAAATTAAAATTCCGGAAGGATTTTTTTAATGAAAGGAAGTTCTGAAACTGATGATTTAGGGATATAATAAAACTCAAATATGGTTCTAGTTACATGGAGTGATTTGGGTTTCTTAGAAAAGAAGGGTAAAAGGAATGTGATGTAATAGACAACTGGTCATCAATAAGAATAAACTGAATTTTTTAAAAAATCTCTAAACTGTACAACTCTACCCAGAGTTCTAAAGAGAAGGTCTTCCAGGTACATGCAGAGGAAAAAGAAATGGATAGGGGAATGTTTTCTGGTGGAGCCATATCTTGAATCATCCCTAACATGTGCTGAATAATGACCTAGCTCCATCCAGAGACCAACCCAGGGACCCATTCCCACCACATAACAATCCTAAGTCAGGATACTGCTAGAGGCATCCATAGATTAAGGCAAAGATCCGCTGTTATGAGAATCTGAACAAGGCATGCCAACCTCAACTTCCACCTTACCCAGACTGGCAGCCCTTGGGAAAAGCTGCCCCAAAGCCATCTAAGTGTGCCCAGTAGGCACATGGTCATGTTCAGTTAGGGCACTCAAAGCTGATCTTCAGTTTTCATTTTTCATTTATCACCAACACTGAAAAATGGGGAGATCTCATCAAAATGTTTGAATTGTGACCTCCCTTGAAAAAAAAAAAGATCTGGGAACCCTGGGCCCACCTCCTGCAGGCTGCATCCCCTGAGCTGAGTCACGGCTGCCCCATTGGAAGCACAGGTGCTTCCTGGTTTGAGACACTCCCTACCACTCCTGTTGTCTCCCTGTGACCTGAGACTGAGCCTCAAGGGCTGTTCCACATCTCTCTGGCATTGTCATTTATGTCACACCTGCCCTGCTTCATTCACCAAAGATACCTGCTCTGTCAGCATCGGATTGGCAACCCCAGAGCTAACCATCTATGGTAACTACATGTTTCCGAGTGGATGAGGAACATGATTTCTTTCTCTCTTTTTCATTCTCTGGCCCATGTGTGTACTTTTGCCCTCCCTCTTGGTCAGTGACCATCTATAGACAGAAAGCACATCATTCTTGGCCTACAACCCATTATCAGACACGTGAAAAAGTCAGTCCCTGTCCTCATGGCCCACTATTATGGACATTTGATCATCCTGGATCTCCTCTATCCTTAGTTATTTACATGGATAGTACACCTTCATGCCAGACCTCTCATCCCTGTGAGCAGCCCAAAGATAGTATATGCAAAGAAAGCCCGAGTCATGAGGAAAGACACACTCTAGGTAGAAAGCACTGGCCCATCAGAATCAAGGTCCTCTTTTCTAGAGAGTAAATTAGAGGGTGCAATCGCTTCCCATGGAAGAAGATATTTTATTCCTTAGGTGACTTCTTAATTGAACCTAATGTCTCAAATTTTGAGTCACTATAGGAAGTGGGTGATGTGTAATAAATATGGGAAACTTCATTTTACTCTGTGTTCATCAAAAGATACATGGATAAGCTAAATGCGGTTTACACATGCAATGAAATACTATTTAGCCTTCAAAAGTAGGGAAAGTTTGACACATCTACGTAAATAATCCTTGAAGATATTACACTAAATGAAATAAGTCCGTGACAAAAGGACAAATGCTGTATGATTCCATTTATACAAGGTACTTAGAGGAGTCAAATTCAGAGGGACAGAAAGTAGAATGGTGGTTGCCAGGAGCTGGGGAGGGAATGGGGAGTACGTGTTTAAATGGTACAGAGTTTCAGTTGGAGAAGATGAAAAAATCCTAGAGATGGATGGTGATGATGGTTGCACGACAATGTAAATGTACTTAATGACACAGAACTATATCTTAAAAGCGGTTAGAAAGGCAAATTTTATGTAATGCATATTTCATCACAATAAAAAGGAAAAAAAAAACCCTAAGGAGGGCACCATACTGGTGTGGGGCTTTCTTTTTACTGCTAGGAAAACTTACAAAGTCCATAATGCAAGGCATAACGTGATATTCAGTCTAAAGAAAGATGGAGTACACTAGCAGCAGCATTACAGTGTCATGTTCATCTCCACTTGGCCCCACTGGGGGCCAGCAATGCTCAAAGGTCAAGACCTGGCCTGACATGCTCACCTGGTTCTGTCTGACCTAGAGGACCCCTCAGATAAGAGGGCCCATCTTCACACACAAGGAAAGCCTACCCCGGGGGTTCCAGCTGACAGCTGCACCAACCGGCAGCTTGGGAGGCTACACCAACAGCACCTTCCAGGCAATGAAAATTTTAACCTCCCACCTATTCTAAGCACACATTAAATCTTGCATTTTTGTGCAAAACTTCTATTCTTGGCACAGGTGTGACAGCAACCTTGGACAGGTATACTAAGTCGGTTCACATAATCAGGCTTTCAATCCATCAATTTTGGCCATGGAGAGGGTGATGATGGTGATGGTGATGGTGATGGGGGAGTGGGTGACAGCAACCCTGGCTCAGAGAATGAACGCTGGCACCAACCCTGGGCATTGTTCACTTTCCAGGCCACCATCTGTCAGCCAAGCCAGTGGCAACTGCTGTTCTAGACCATGCTTGTAAATAAAACAACAAGGTTCAACAAATCTTGGCATGGAAGTGGGAAGAATCATCTCAGGAGTCCCTGCCGCATGACGGCGTGAAAGTGAACTCACACAGGATGAGCTTGGTTGGTCAAGCAAATTTTACAGAGATGCTATAGGAGCATTGGAAACAGACTTTTTATTTAACAGAAACTTACACACACTTGGTACAAACCCTACATTATGCAAACCTTTATCACAGTTCTACACAGGTTGTCACTTGTGGGAGTTGGTTGGAAAGCAGATTATTATGATAATTATTAGCATTTTGACAAGGGACATTTTCTACCAGAAAACGTCAGAGAAAAGGGCTACAAAATGATACAGACACTCTCGGTGATCCCCTCCACCAACAGGACTGGCTTTGAACAGGAAACCTGAAAGGACTGGCAGGAAGTCGGTGCCCACCTGCCCTGCCCTTTCAGAGGCCAAAGAGATTCTCAGGCTCAGAACCATTTCAGTAACACTGTGACTCAAGGACCTCTGCTGACCAGAATACCCAGCCTTAGACTATTCGTGTGTTATTATGACTCTGCTTACAAGGGAGGGAAACCCAAGAGCATGGCTGTGTGAAAGCCCAGTGCAGTGGGGAGCCTGCGGGTAGAACCCAGTGGCTCAGCCAGTCAGCCCTGCACCTTTGCTGGGCCACAGACACAGCGCCGAGATACATCCCATCGGCCAAAACGCCCACTTCCGCCAGCTCAGCCAGAAAGGGCCATGTTAGAACACCCGCCGTCTTCCTTGGCTCCCACCAGCAACTGAATTTGAGGTTCTCATCCTTCAGGTCGGCCTTCCTAGCCCTTGGGGACAGCTCTGGAAGCTCAGGCCCCAGAAGCCAGCTCAGCAGAAGGTTCCCTTTCCTCATCTCTTCTAGGAGTTGTTAGGTGACTGAACTAATATCACCTCAGCTGATGCTTTTATTTTTGCTTTTTTTTTTTTTTTTTTTTTGCTGCATTATTT
Organism: Homo sapiens; assembly: GCF_000001405.40. Classification (NCBI taxonomy): domain Eukaryota; kingdom Metazoa; phylum Chordata; class Mammalia; order Primates; family Hominidae; genus Homo; species Homo sapiens. The sequence goes on from NC_000014.9 coordinate 72,661,888, forward strand.
TAAACAAAGCTCTCTGTGTTCGAATCTATTGAACTTGAGGGGATATATTCCATCAATAGATGGAATTCCTTCCTGAGCTAGACCTCATCAGACATGATAACTAGGAGGCAGGCTGCTTCTGACATTCAGATAAAAGGGGCTTGCCTGGGGTGAGGGGGCAATGAGGGTGGGGGAAACTGCTGATTTGTGGCTAAGTTATTTCAGTCAAATCTTAACACACAATCATTTAACATCACCAACACTTTCAATAGACTTTTGAAGGAGGAAAAAAAAACTGAGCACTCCTCACTTACCACATCCAACTCGCAGAAATAAAAATACCTAAAGCACATACATGAATGGCTTTTTAAAAAGCCTGAGAGAGCAGAGTTGATCTTTATTTTCTTATTTAAAATGTGGGGCATTTTTCTTTAGAGTTAATATGCAGTCTTTTATTTTACATTAAGTACTCTTATGATTTCATGTCTTCACAAAATTGCGCTTAACTTTTGAAGTAGGAGGTACTTTAAACAAAAATACTGTGCCATGTCAGCACTTTTTTCCTTTTAAATATTGAAATAAATAAAATAGTTAACTCTTTTTTTCCATCAGTTTGTTTGTGTTCAGTTATTTCTACTGTAGAGTAATTCCAGGCGGACCTGGGTACTTTCTCACAGACAATCAAAGAAAATATAATGAAGATTTAAAAAGAAAAAAAAAATCTTCTTATTGCACAAACTGAGGCCATTCCCAAGGCTTCTGTGGGCTGAGCTGAGTTGCGCTGCAGGATTTTCCACTCCTGTGCTGGCTCCTGTGTTGTCTGAAACACACGCACAGGAGGGGGCTGGGCAAGGGAAGAGGAAGAAGAGGAGGAGGAGGAGGAGGTGCCAATCATCCTGGCTTCTTTTCACCTTCTTCGGAAATGGCTTGCTTGAAGGATGCTGGAGTCCCCAGGTCATAATGTTGACTGCAGAGGGAAAGGCAATGAAAGATAAAACAAAAAACAACAGCATGGAACAACTACTTAAAAAAGAAAGATGAAAATTAAGGGGTGACAGAAATGAAATGAATTAAAAAAAAAAAAGAAGAAGAAAGAAAGAAAACCACCAACTAATTGCCAAGTTAATGAGGCTAGGCCAGGTGCAACAAAAATCAGGGTAGTGTGTCCAGCGCCTTGAACTTCAGCAGCATGAGATCAGCCAGGAATAGGGCAGGTCAGTTGCTACTGGGCCAGAGGCAGAGAGAACACAGCTGGATGGTCAATTCCCAGGTGGTGTAGCAGGCAGAACTGGGTGTTAGCAAAAAAAAAAAAAAAAAATTCCCCTCCACTTAGAAACCAAACAAACTGAATCTTTTCACAGTTAAAACACCCCAGAAAGGACCTTTATGATGTCATCTCTCTCCCTGCCATCCAAGTAGAAATGAGTAGTTCTATGGTATAGAACCAATTCAGCCACAGAAAACCCCATCAGATGCCTCATTTGGCCTAAGCCCAAAAGGACACTGCTTCCTTCACAAGCACTCACACTCAGCCCCAACCCTGCCCCAAGTGATTCAAGTGTGTCAGAGTTACTCGGAGACAGTCCCCAACCAAGAGACCAGTTCCAGTCCTCTACTAGCACAGTGATCCCTTTGTCAGCCTTGGAACCTGGTGGTGGTTCACACAGGTGGGCCCTTTTGCCTGGATAGCCACGCATAGCTTTTGCTTCTAGCTGAAATGAAATCTGCCATTTTGGTCTTTGGAACGGAGTAGTTGACACAAAGGAGTGAGCAATGAAACCAAGTACTGCCACATTTCACCCCGGAAGCAGTTTCTGAAAGCAGAGATGGGTGTCCCAACAGTGCCTAGATCACATTAAGCTGAGCGATAAGGGAGGGAGAAGAGGGAGAATGGGCCTAAATGGAAAATGGCCAAGCCAGCAAGGAAAAAAGCTCAAAAGCAAATGAGCAGCTCAGCCTCTTCCAAGTTGAAAGGCCCCTCCCCTGCCCCACCTCTCCTGGTACCCAAGCATCACTCAATGGCCAGGTGCACAGGCCTGGATTAGATGCTCTTCCAAAGCTGAGACTCCATTCATCCAACTTTCCTCCTTGACCAAGTCCTCCCTCCACACCTGCTCCTGTTCCTTGCCTCTACCCCATCCCACCCCACTGTCTCCCTTTCTGATCCGCTTTGCTGGTGCACCCTACCCCCACTTCCCTCATGCTCTTTGCTGTCACCACCTGCCTCTAGCTCCTTCCCTTGACTGATCAAACCCAGGTGACCTTTCCTGGGACCTCCCACAGAACGCCTGCCGATTGTTCTCTCCATGGGCATCTGTCATCATTTCACTCCCTGCCAGGAGTCTTTCTGTCCCTCTCCCAGTGCCCTGACCCCTCTGGTCAGATGTTACCTGCCACTCTGTAGTGAGTCTGTCTCATAAGCTTACCCCACACCTTTCAGTTTCTTCAAATTTCCACCCCGACCTCCCAACACACACACACATGTATTTTTCCTTTGCCCCACTAAAGCCACCTAGAAAATCATGCGTGAGTCCCAACTTGGCACTCCTAACTTCCATTTTCTCTTTTGTTTCCTCTGGTCAGGTCAACTGCAGGCCACAAAAATGAAACAATGTGCAGCTGTGTTCTTAGTCTCCTGCTCTCAATCCCCTGCAAGAAGGCATAGTTTTCTACCCCTCCACACACATGGTCAACCCCTCCCCACCCCTGTCCTGACATCCCCCTTTTCTCTCCTTTACCCCTCACCACCACCTCACCACCTCCCACCTGCCCCCTCTGACTTAACCACTGGATGCTGTGTCCAGAGACTTCTCCATTCTTTCTGTCAACAATATTTATTAAGCATCCTCTATGCATAGAGTGAGATTTGGTAAGACTTCCACTAATTATCTCAGAAACTGCTCAGTTCTCAGTTTATTTCAACAAATAATTATGGCACACTGGTGTCAGGCACTGTCTGGAGGATATGAGTGATATCACCTTTGCCCTCAAGGAACACGCCATCTGTTTGAGAAGGACTACAAGCAAACATGATGTGTTGTGATAAGCACAGGAGCGGCAGGAACAAAATGCTATGGAATGGTACTTAGGCGGGTTTTCAAATGGTGATTTTTGCCATTTTACATGGGTTAGGTTGTGATTCCCAGCTTTGCTTTTTGTTCGAATATTATCTCCATTGTCTCTGACAATAGACATTCTTGCCTACAGATTCAACAGCAACGGTCCATCTGGAGCTCTTTGTTGATCTAGATGGCTTCCTCCAAGAAAATCTTCTTGTCTACTGAGATCCATGGCAAAAATAATCACATACTACCCCATGACAGCTCTTACATGATTTTAACTATTTGTGAATTTCTAGTCTGATCCACTAGGTCACAAAATAAATCCAATGGCCAATAAATTCATTGCCCCATGTTTAATTTTATCCTATCCTTGACAGTGCTGAGCAGTCACACGCATACTGTTATTACTCAGTCCCTAGTTGCCAAATGAACCGAGGTATATCTGAATGAAAATGTTATCATCCAAGGTCTGTAAACAGAATAGCCTGAAATCTCAGCTGAAAGGCCAAATGTCTGAGTCACCAGTAATGGGGTAAATCAATCACATACCTCCTGATGTAATGCACTGAGAAGGATACAACATCATTTCTAAGGTATTCTAACCAAAATGCACAACTTCAGTTTAGTCATTAGAAAAACAGCATCCAAGCCTGAACTGAATGGCTTTTGCTATGAAATGACTAACCAGTATCGAGGTTGTGAAAAACAAGATTGTAGTACTAACTATTCCAGATTAAAGGACTTGTAAGAGGACATGGCAACCTGTGAGCCCAGACTGGATCCTGGACCAGAAAAAGGACACTAGTGAGACAACTGGCAGAATTTGCATAAGGTCTGTAGGTTATAGCATTGCATCGATGTGAATTTCCTGATTGTGATCATTGTACTGTGGTTATTTGAAGAATCTGGGTGAAGGACATATGGGAATTCTTGGTAAAATCTTTGTAAGTTTTTTGTAAGTGTAAATTATTTCAGAAGTAAATTTTTTAAAAAGCCATAGTTATTGGTTGAGTTCCAGTGGTGAGATACTTTGAAAACCTAATTGCCAATGTTTTTTATCTAATAATTCAGTTCTGACAGGAATCTTCCATCATTCCCATTTATTTTGTAAACCAATCATGCAGAATGGCTTTTCCTATATTGCTATTTTGAATAGGTGATCAGAAATCACTTTTATTAAACACCACAATATTATATAATTCAATGTTTTTGTGTTAGAAGCAATTGGGTTTGTGACCAGGGCCCAAAATGTTCACTCCCTGCCACCATTACTCCCGCTACCACTGGCACCACAAAAACAGTGACCATTTAGGAAGCTCAACTTTAGTTCTCCCAGAAAGTTCATGAGGACTTAGACATTGCTACTTCTCAGAAAGATTCTAATGTGTCATAGTTTCATTTGGGGTTTCTGTTGTTTCAGTTTTTTCTTTTACAGAATCAAATACCTCCTTTTCATCCAATAAATTCTTGAATAAAAGACCTACAGGCATTTTACTGATTTCACTCAAGAAATCTTCCAAAGATGATCTTTGGGGAAGTCAGTATAGACTTAGGAAAGATTATTAGAAGATCCATACATCATTTACTGAGCCTGGAACTTTAGACAAGTCATCAAACAGGATCAAATCTCAGTTTCCTCATCAGTAAAACGGGAATAAATAACATCTACCCTACCTCATAGAGTTAAGCATCATCATGAAATAATATAAGCTACATATTCTAATAGGGAAAGAAATGTCCATTTCCTCTCTCAGAAACTGAGGCAGAGATCCCTGTCAACAAATTCACACAGGGAGCTGAGCCCAGAGCCCAGAACTTGTCATCTCCACTCTAGGCTTCCACACACCAGATCAAAGACACCTCACTCAGAAAATACACAACACAAGTCACTTCTCCTCCAAAGGCTGAGCAAAATCCCCTGAGGAAAAATTCCTAACAGATGAGTCTGCTCCAATTTTAAGTACACGTTCAAGATCATATTCATCAGATGTAACAGGAGGTATACTGGGATAAAATTAATTAATTTTATTCCACCATGAGGTGAGAACCCCCAAACACCCTTTAGTTCTCTCCCTGAGTAATGATCTTGCATTCCCTCCAGTGCTGTATAAAGCAGTATCAGTCTGTAGCCCATTAGATGCAGAGAGAGATGCAGAGTAAGCAGGAACCCTTAAAGGGATGCTATTGATGTGAACATCACATTTTTTTTTATTAAATTCTTCTCTCTAAAATACCGGTAGCAAATTGGATTACTGTCTTTATAGTACCTCTAAAAAATTAAATGCATATTTCTAATTCCCAGGGTCATAGTGATTATAGTGTCTGATCTTTACATAGTCTCTCAGTAACAGAAATAAAGGATTTGATTGTTCTAGGTAGGGAAAAAAATCAGCTAGACCATAACAATTGTCACCTTTAGGTCAACAGCCCCCCTCCCCAGGGGATTAAAATGTTGTAACAAATTTAGAAAGTTCTATATCTTTGGTTCCCCTCTCTTTGGCCTGGGACTCAGAAAACTCAGGGTGGTACTTTACTGAGCTGAGGGCAAAGGAAGCTGGCCAGATCGTTTTCATCTTGATGACTCTAATTTCTTTTGTATTTTAAATTTTGAGTAGTGATACTTATTTAACAAAAGCAACAACAGAAAGGTGTGTTGACTGTTCACACAGCTCCTACAATTCCTAAGGTCACAAAAAAGGTGATCTCTTTGTACATTGTCTAGAAGTGATGATTAAGAAGGTAAGTTATCTACAATATTCCGCAGAGAATCTGAATTAGAACTCTCTTTTACAGGATCTAATTGCTTACTCTTCCGTTGTTGAAATTTCTTTTAATGACGTTACCTTTTAAAAGCTATATTCATTACAAAAACCCTTTTCTTCAGTTGGAATTGAGAAACAGCAAAGTATGTATACATGCATGCATATATATTCCTTAATTATAGACTATGCAAGGGGCAATGCAGGCAACGATAGAGTATAGGCTCTACAATCAGGTTGCCAGGGATCAAAACCTGGCTCCTTCCTAGGTGTACATTTCTTAACCTTATTACTAACCTCAGTTTCCGCAAACTGGGGATTAATATAAACACCTATCTCATGGGAGTAGTCATGAGGATTAAGTGAAATATTCCAAGGAAAGCGCCCAGAATAATGCCTCACACAAAAATGTAGATGACTGCTATCTAGAAAAAGGGAGATAAAGATATCACATCCACCACTAAAGTGGTTGGAAACCAAGGACAGCCAGCTTCCTCATCCGACACCTTCTCTCTCGGAGCTTCCTTCCTTTGCCTTAAAACATTTCCCTCCAATGCAATGCCCATCCCAGTCCCTCCAACTTAACTCACTTAACCTCTCTGGGTCAACTTTTCTCAACTGAAAAGTGAAAGATTTGAACTTGATCATCTTAAAAGTCCCTTCCAGTTTTTAAGGGTATAAATCTTGAGTCCGTTCAAAGACTCTATAAGCAAGGTGAGACAAGATGGTCTGGCCATGCTAAGAAACCTTACTATGCTTCTATTACCCCAAGGAAGAAAAGTGAGGATATCAACTACCTCCAAGAAGAGAAACTGAAGATCAAATATCAAGCTATACTATTAAATATAAAATAGACAAGCAATACCCATTCTCAGATAAACATTCTCCTGGGAGTTTGCCTTGTTAGTTCTAAATGGTTAGTTTCTCTGTTAGACTCCAAGCTAGACTCTGAAATTAGGTAGCCTTTTATAATTTGCTTTAAATATGTGGATTAAAAAAAAAAACACCTCAAGTGTAAAGGCAAATTGTCATTGAGAATTCTGGGACTATGAGCAACTAGACAGAATTCAAATGAGAGTGTAGATTGGTTGAACATATGTTTATTAACATAGAAGCTCACATTTTATCAATGAAAGCAAGTTGTAATCCCATGAATCCAATATCTGAGTCAAAGGTACAGAGTAAAGAGGTGGAAAATGACAGCAAGTGTACATTGTATCCCCGTAGCAGAAACCTACTGGAACAAACTCTATTGGCTGACGTGTGAGCATGCAGAATATGACAACCTTGGAGGTTTATGCCATATTTCCTAGGAACAGGCCACATATAGATTAGACAGAACAACCCAAAAGTGGTTGGGATTGTTACTTTCATTCCCTCAAAACTGAGAATAAATGCCCAGGCGATCACATACACATCTCAAGCATGAGAAAAGTGGAAGCCCTTTCTGTCTCAGGCTACCAGGAAAGCACAAAGGTCTCATTTCTGGGTTTCTTGGCTTGTCCTTGTGTTTTAGGTTGGTTTGTTATTTTAAGGAGCGGTCTAATTCATGAGGATCTGCAGGGGCTGGACTGTCAAAGTAGATCTTCCCAGAGACACTGATAAGCAGTCTGTTAACCAGGCAGCTACTTGGGTCTCCCAACCCATGTCAAATGGTTCTGCCTGTGTTTCCAGAACTGTGCACTCCTGGAGGCAAGAGACCCTGGCCAACCTTAAAGGGAGTGCAGAATCTTCCAAACAGCCAAGTTGAGTTTTGTGCCTAATCAGGGATCTTCTTTAATTTGGACTCATCCCCTTGGTTTTGAAATTGGTACCGAGAGTAAGAAATACCACCTAGACATGCAGTGCCCTGTGGCCACAACCTCCCTATTCCTACCCAAATCCAGCAGCCAACTCCAACTTCAGTTCCCTGGATTTCACTTCCAGGTTTAGCCAAGGGAGGCAGAGTTAGCCAAGCACTTCCCCAGCCATTTTCTCTTGTAGTTGAAGCCAGAAGCCTGCCATTCTCCACACTGAGCCCCTCCCATAGTCCAAGCAAGACTCAGATCACACACCTATGCCAGGGCCCACATGAGTTCACATGCACACACAGGCCACAGAGGGCCAGGGGGAGACACTCCAGCAGCCACTCTTACACTAAGAAGGGAGTCCAAACCCAGGAAAACAAAAAAGCAAGCTGGGGGAAAAAGGAAAAAGAAAAAGAAAACTAAAAAATAGATATGATGGTTTTGCCCACATTGCAAGACAGGTTAGCCAAGACATACCTTTTGACTAGGACCTCGCAGCCGGTCATTCTTGGGACTGTCAGTGAGGTGGGTGGCCTTCTCCATCGCCCCAGGGGCCTTGAGCAGTGTTGCTTTGGTTTATTTCAGGAAGTGCTATTGGAAACATAAAACAAAGTGCCTGGCAGGCACTATAAAAAAAAATAGAAGAAATACGGTAGCCTTGATCATCCAATGGGTATTGATACGTTTCTTAACAGGGGCAAGGGGAGGGGAAACACACGATGATGTCTCCTTCTATCTTCCAGAAGCACGGCCTCGGCCTCGGGTGGTGGAGTCACTGCTGAGCCCATGACGTTCTGCTTATATTCCATCCCTGCATTTGGAAGTCGTTCTTTGCCAGGAGGAAAGTGAGGAAAAACCAGCAATAACAAAACAGCAGCTCTACTGACGGAGGAGGAGGAGCCCAGGAGGCGGCTGGTCAGGGCCCAGGTGTGGAGGGAGGCCAGGCATAGGCACCCCGACTTCTCTGGAACTACTGACATTTTCTCGCAAGCAGAGAGGAAGATGGAAAGGTCAGGGAGGAGAATGAGGGAGGGGTCTGCCGCGGGGAGCCGCAAACTCCGTGGGGCACAGAATAGTGCAACCGTCTCCCATTGAGGAAATTCTCCCCACCGGGCGGCTTGCCTCTAAACAGGATATTGCTTCGATTTCTTTGATTTCCCTTCTCTCTCTCTCTCTCTCTCTCTCGCAAAAAAAGTCTGATTCTAATAACAGCTAGAATATATAAATAATAATGTTTTAATGTTATTGGTTCTTTGTTTCCAACCCAAAGTTCCTCTTCTCTTCCTTTTGCCAATAAATATGAAAATTGAGGACATCAACTCTGCTCCTGTCAAAAAGACCCCCTCCCCTCAGAAAAGAGACAATCCGTCTAACTTCCTATTTCTATGGAAAATAAATAGCGCATCACGATGCCATCTCTCGGAAGAACGCTCATTCTGCTGTTTTGTTTTGTTTCAGTAGTTTGTGCTTCTGTTGTACATACCCAAAACAGAGGGGTGGGGGGAGGGATGGAGGGACACGTGGGAGGTGAAGGGAAAAAAAGCAAGGATAGAGGGAAAATCTAAAGTTGCCTTTCATTAAAAAAAATATATATCAGAACCAGCACAATGACCAAAGTCAGAGGGGGATGGCTAATTGCCCAGAGAGTCTGTTCCGTGGGTTTAGCAACTGCCCTTTTTATCTGCTGTGGGCGAACCCCGGCCACTGCGGCGTCCTCGACAGGAGCGAGGCTCTTCCAAATCGTCCTCATCAAAGCCGTGGAAAGTTGACGTGTCACTTTCTGACGTGGAACCGAATAAGTCCTCCGTGGTACGTGCTGCGGCCGCTGCCTCCTTCTCCTTCCTGCCTTCTCCTCCCAAATGAGCTGACATGTATGATGAATATATCAGCACATGGGTTAAGCAACAGACAGCATTATTAATATTCTCATTACATTATTACAATGCTATTCTTAATAGCAAGATATAAAACCATTTGCACACCAAAGGGATTAACCCGGTGCATCACCTGGTGACGGGGATTTGGGACAAAGCAAACATTTCCAGGGAAGAGGCTTCCCCCACTCCCCGAAAAGGCATCATCTCTACCATAGTACATATGTCCACAGCTTCCGACAGCAAAAGATTCAACCATGATCTTTCTTCTGTTGTGCATACACACAGGCGCTTGCACGCTCACTCAACCCTGCCCCAGACAATGATTTTCATTGGTGGTTTTTAAGCCTGGTTGGGATTTCTTTGGTGTTTTCTGTTGGTGTTTCTTTGAACAATGTTTGTCCTTCACTTTGACAGTCAGCTGTACAAAGGTATTACTGTCAGATAACCCATTCAAGGTGGTTAAGCCTCCATCTATTTCATTTTTATTTTACCCGCTTCTAATCCCATTCTTTCAGAACCCTTTCAATTCTCCCCTTACGCCATGTCGTTCATTTGCACTGAAAGCAAAAGGAAGTTGGAAAGTCTGATAAGTGGTAGGTGATAAAATAGTTTGTTTCCTTTAACCACAGGAGGAAATTTCTGTGATCTGCATCCACATACATGTGCACGTGTGCACACCACACACACACACACACACACACACACACAGACACACACACACACACACACACACCCAGCCACCAGCCATGCCCAGGTATCGGTTACTCCAGAAAGTTCAGTTGTCAAATCTCATTCAGGGCACTACAAAGGTGAGAAATAGGAGTAGAAAAGCCCTAATAAATCAGAGCATCCTGAAATTTGTAAAACTCAGGTTTAAACTTTTTTGCATTCTAAATGAGCCCCAGGACTGCTCTTGTATAAAGGAATGATACATCCCTCATGGTGCCAATTTCAGGAACCTCACTTTCTCCCAGGAAACAGCAGTGGTAGGGTAGATGGGAGGGGAAGGAAGCTCTTCCAAGCTCCATACTCTTCTCTGGAAGGACCGTAGGGAGGCTCCAGAGAAGTATTCGCCCACCTGCCTTAACAAGCACATCTCATCTCATGGGCCAATGACACCTGTTTCTTCCCATGGTATCAACTATTTCAGGAACATTAGAGTCAGACCTTGACTAAATCATCTACCAAAACCAATCCTTGGCAAATGCAGTGAGAATACCTAGGCTGGTAGAAAATGGCTCCCTGAGCCACATAGCAGACAGAACCTTGGAGGGAAAGCTGAGGGAAGGTTGTGGAAAGAGGCTTTGCATAGAAAAAAACAACTTCCCACTCCTGACATCCCATGGCTTCGATTCTAGCACCCCTCTTTTGTAAGAAAGGAAGGGGAGAAATTACAGCAGTTTGCAATGAGAATTCTGAAGCTGCCCCCTCTAACCCATCCAAACCTACAGCAGTCCATAACGTGTTGCTTAGACCATCACTTCAAGTGACCTTGCTTCTGGAAGTAGAGATTTCATCTGATTGCTTGCTTTTAAAAAAACACTGCATTGAATTTCATCTGTTTTTTTTAAGTATCTTAAAAAAACAGAGTCCGCTATCACAAGGGCCCTGTCTTCTACGCTAGCATCCATAGAATAAAAAATTCAATGTTAGGTACCATGTTTGGAAAGTAAATGAACTGACAGAATTGCACAAATGGACCACCCTTGAGAGTCACACGTTGAGGGTTGTGTGCAGCAGAAACCACAGTCCTTTTAAAATTACTGATTTGCTACTCAAGCCAGCCTTAAGCCCTAAACAGCCCTACCATCAAAATATAAAAGGGCTAAAGCTAAGGTTTGCAGACAGAGCAAGGAAAGAGCTGAGTTGCTACAGTCAACCATGATGGGGTCATCTCAGTTCTTCTCTGGGGACTGGGAGTGAAAAAGACACTGGATAGAAAGGTAGAAAGGAGAAATGACTCCTCATTGCTGGAACAAAGCATCCAACCAAACTGTTTCACCTACTCATATCAGGGGCTGATGAGACTAAAAATGGGGTTGAAATTCCCTCCTCCCTGCCTCACACTGTGGTCTAGTGCTGACATAATACAATATGAAAAATAGGTAGTACCAACCAACCATGGCCAGCCAAAAATAATGGTTTGGTTAGAACTAAAAAACAAAACAACCATTTGAACATAACCTGAAGACCTGAATTCATTTTAAGAATGAAGGAACAAGACCAAAAGTCTCTTTCTGTTATTTTAGTCTTTGGATAGGTTAAAATATAAACATATACACCAAATCAACTGCAGATTAGCCCTAGGAATGCCTGTCCTTTTGCCTCATTGATCTATCGGGGTCTCTTCTGTTCTGTTTTAGAAAATGAGATTAGTGGCCAATGGCGGTGGTGTTTATGCAGCTAGCCAGGAGCCCGGGGATCTCTGACTCCCACAATTCAAGATGTGGTTGCTCTCCGAATACTCATGTTTCCACACCACACCACACTCTTCGGGTTTGCCCTAGGCACTTCCACAGAACAAACTCATCTTTCTGTTACATGTGCATCATCCACTACAAGAAAGCACGTTGCCTTCTCTCCAGGTTTTTCCACTCTACCTCGCTGTGGTCCGTAAAAACACGCACAAAGAAATATGCACCTCATGGAAAGGCCAGACACAAACCCAAAACTTCTCTTTGCCCTTTCCCCCGGATCCTAGGGCATAACTTTTGGTTCTTGAGACCCAAAGAAGAAAAATATCAGAATGAGCTGAAAACTCCTCTCCACTCGAAAGCATTGCCACCATCGCTTCCCTCTCCAGTCTCCAGCACCACAAGATGGAAGAGGAATGCAAGAGGAGCATTCCTGGTCTACGGGCACCCGGTGTGGGAAGGGGCCACACTCACCAGAGCGTCCACAGTCTGCGCAGGACACCAGCTCTTCAGGCCGCCCACTCTTCTTGTTCATGTTGGAGCCCCCCAAGCAGAAGTCACAGTAGTTATTGGGAATGACTGTTCCATCCGGTCCTTTCTGGGCTGTGGGAACATTTAAAACATTCCAATTTCAGGCTTACATGAGTTTCAACTGCCCCTTCTTCTCCTCCTACAGTGTGGTAGAATCTGCTCCAGAAGGAATCTGAGGTTTTATTATAACCAAGTTGGCAAATTGGGCTACGCTTTCTTTTGGATCCTTCCGGGTTTAATGGTACTAATAATATCTTGCAAGTCACCCAGAGTTTAATTTTTAGAGTATTCCCCAGCTCTGTGTTGTTGCAGAAATCACCCTGCTCCTCTGATTGCATCCTTAGATGATCAAACCATCCAGAAGAGGTACTGGTCAAGTGAACTACTCTCAGCCCTAAACAATCAGCCCTGTGGGCCCAGGCCCCAGGCATCAGATGGAAACCACACACCATGGTGTGAGGACAGGGAGAGGAAAGAGCCAGTGCCTGGACCTTGCCATTGGGAACAGTGCTCTTGTTTAGGAGATATTCTTCCTGTCCCTGAAATGGAAAACAAAGAAGCACTGATGGGAGGTCATTTCCAGGAATAACACCAAAGATGCTCTTGGGGACTTGGACAAACAACTTGGTGGAGTATCAATCTCCCTGAAGGGGAGTCTCATCTCCCTGAAGTCCAGACCCATTGATCATGGAAAGTGCCCAAGACCCCAAGTGCCTAAAATCAGAACTAGACCCAGGCTTCTAGGCACTTGGCTCAGCCTCATGCCAGAGATGGATTAAACGGTGAGTTACTGAGCATGTCTTTAGGCTTAAGACCGTCACGAATAACTGAACACACTAACTTCAAAACCCACTCCTGCTGGAGGTCCTTAAACAAAAGCAAAGAAAAATCTTAGGACATGACTTTGAAAACAAAGCCTGTGAGGAGAATAGCACCTGTCCTTATGCACCAAAATCATTCCATTTCCAGGGGCTGCTTGAGAAGCCTTGAACAGATTATTTGCATGGAGAGAAATACTTCCCTTTTTCTGTTTCTCCCTCCCTATTGCGGGCATTTCTTTGTCATATTCACACTCCCTGTTTGTAACTAAGAAGAAAAGTCTTTCTGTTTATGGGATCAGCCCTAACCACCCAAGTATCTTCCTCCTCACCAGACCCAGTGTCTGCTGCTGCCTTTCATTATTCACTGGCTAACGTTAATCAGGGTCCCATACGGTACAAATCTGAAAAAGGAAGCAGAGATGTGAGCAGAAATACCATCCAGACAGTAAGTGATAAACGGATTCACCCACTTTAATGTGATTCCCTCTGGCCTCCACTTCCTCCATGCCTCTGCTTTGCCTCCAGGAATAGAAAACCTACCTGGGGAAGGCGGAAGACAAAAGCTAGAGGAATTTCATTATAGAGGGTTAATCCATTTATCAGTTGCTATTTGGATTGTTTAATTGGTTTCTAAGTCATTGATTTCCATCTTCAGGGAGGCAGACAATTCTCTGCAAGAAGTGTTAGCTGTTTGGGGGACACAGAGGAGCTGGCCACATTCTGGGGTCTGTTCAGTGTAGGCTTGTCTTCATCAGTCCCTGGATCTCAAACACATTTGCATGGCATACAGAATGCTTTTGCAAATAATCTCCAAAAAGCAGTATATCTGCAAATATTTTACTCTGCCTATAAATTTTCATTGCCCAAATCCAGAAGTACCAGAGTCCCCTTCTCCCTTCTCCCTCAATTGCCATCTTAGTCATTTTTAGAACTCTCCTAAGAAAATCCAAGCATCTCTATGAAGCAAATAAACTCAGGGTTTCCTCAACAAGATATGGATGGAAAACTATCAAATGGTGAACAGAAAGAAGAGATAGGGTATACTAAATTTAGGGGCTGAGGGTAAACCAAAGTTAAGTGTCATGATTGATATGAGCTAGATATAAAATGTGGAGATGCCAGTTGTTACTTAGGTAGCTTCCTGTATGGAAGGCAATCAGAGAATCCCATATATATCATTCATAAAAACTTACAGGGGGCCTAGTCTCCTCAGCTGTCTCTCTCCTATACTCTTAGGGACTTCCTATAATTTTCAATTTCCTCCCCATTCACAAGATCTTTAAGCAACTAAAGAATCTGATTTTCTCCAACACACTGTCTCCCTCATGACGTATGAGGATGAGTAAGTAAAATATAGAGTATAAAAGCTTGCAGATTAATTCTTGATATGGTTTGGCTGTGCCCCCACCCAAATCTCATCTTGAATTGCAGCTCCCATAATCCCCACATGTCATGGGAGAGACTGAGTAGGATATAATTGAATCATGGGGGCAGGTTTTTCCCTAGCAGCTCTTGTGATAGTGAATAAGTCTCATGGCATCTGATGGTTTTAAAAGGGGCAGTTCCCCTGCACATGCTCTCTTGCCTGCTGCCATGTAAGATGTGCCTTTGCTCCTCCTTTGCCTTCTGCCGTGATTGTGAGGCCTCCCCAGCCAGGTGGAACTGTGAGTCCATTAAATCTCTTTGTCTTTATAAATCACCCAATCTCGGGTGTTTCTTCCTAGCAGATGAAAATGGACTAATACAATTCTACACAGCATTCACTACCAACAGACCATTGGTAGAACACCCTATTGAATCAGGAACTCTAATACTACAAGAAATAAAAAATTAGAAATGATCTAGTAGAGCTAAGCAGGCAGTGATGGAAGAATTCAGCCTTCGTAAAAAGACCAAAGGAAAAGAATTGAATTCATCTGAAAAAGGGAAGCTTCTGACGAGATGGAGTCTGAGCAGCATCCTGTTGGCCATACAGAGTTCCTGTCCAAGGGGTGAGGGAGGTCCTAAAATCCCATGTATAGGCCCCGGTATGTGCAGGAGTGACATGCCAGGCCAGCTGGGGTGTGGAGGTACATTTTTAGTCTGGCAATGGCCCAGTATAGAAAGTGATCATGCACAGCTGTTTTATTTTTCAGAGAAATCATTTTTGCTTCAGTTTCTACTCTTTCTTACAACAGTGAGCTCAAAGCATCCTTCCATTGTGGTCAGATGGTGTGGAATGGACTAATTGCTTATGCACCTGATTTTCTTAAACATTTTGGTACTTGGGATTAGTTTCAGAGCAAGGGTTCTCCCATGGAGCTCTCCCAAACTTCAGCTAAAACATATCAGTCATGCCCTGGGGAGGGTACTGTTGATATCACCATTATGACCCTTGTTTATATTGAGTCTGTGTGCCTCCTCTCCCCGTTTCACATTATCATCTCTCCATATTAAATAGGTCTACTCCTTCAGGTTGGAGACCAGGTCTAACCCGTTGTTGGAACCCCTACAATCTGTGGGATGAGTGACTTTAGAGAGGGATGGCAGGGATGTTAGTGGGTGGCACAGTGATGCCCTGGGAGCACCGGATATCATTCACTGCCCCTGGTTTATTTCCCTACCAGAGGAGAGCTGGTCCATGTGTGCATGAATTGGTCTGTCACCTGGTCTCATGGCCAGCTCCCAGAGTACACAGAAGTCGGTAGCCAATGGCCCTGAGTCACTGGAAGAATAATACTGTACCCCTCCTGTGGGAGGCGAGACATCATTCTGCACCAAACACACAAGAACATAGAAGACAATGATTCATTGTCTCTTGAGAAGAGGATACCTGGTCATGCCTATCCACTCAGCTTCCCTTTTGTTCAACTGCGTATTGAAAGGAGAAGAAAAGGAAGCAGACATTTATCACACCACAAAACTGTGGCAAATCTTTTGCTGGATGCTTTATATATGTTATTTCATTGATTCTTGCAAAAACTTTGTGAAGTAGGGAATTTTTTGACAGATGCAGTAACTGAAATCCAAAGAGATTAAAGCGCTGGCTCCAAGCCTCGGTTGGGCTCTTCGAAGGCAGGTTTCACCCCCAGTTTGTCTGTGTCCCCAGAGATTGTGCCTCTAATCACACTTCTCTGCCTCCTGGGAAGTCCAGAGGTAAACACTTTGCAGCCATACCTTGCATATAAAATATTTCATAAATCTCTTTAGAGTCAACCTGATTCGCCCAATATGATATTTACGAAGCCCAAAGCTATAAAAATTATTGAGACCGGCCTGATAAAAGTGGAAATTCCCTTTGAACTTAAATTTAATGTCCCTACTACAGTAATCCATCCTGGGTGATCCTGTTTATTGTCATCTACTCTATGAAAACACTTCTCTGGAGAATTCCAGAGGCTCATGAAGGAATTTTTTTAAGTAAAGCTCACATCATGGCTAGGTTGGCCTATGGCCTGACCCAGCCATGAGCAATTTCCTGGTACTGTATATGAGATCATTATAAAAAAGATTTTACTACAAATAGGAAGCTCGCCCAGACCTTGTAAGTGGGATTTAAATAGAGATTTTGCTTCTGCTTATGGGAAATTGAGTCCCGCTTTATAGAATAAGATGACGGGGAGGGCAAAGACCCGACTGGCATCTCTATGGCAGCATCTGCGATGATGGATGTGGTTTTCTGTTGATTAATGTTCATGGGCTGAGATCATATAAGAGATACAAGTAAGTTGCTGAGAAAATAAAGTGAGCCTTAAGAGTTTAGAAATCTACCTGAGGGAGATAACTCTAAAAAGCTCAAAGGAAAAAAAATGGAAATCAGGAACAAAGTTCATGAAGAAAGTAGAAGAAAAATAACAGAAGGCAGGGAAGAGCATTCAGATAAATCAAAGCAAGAAAAATGAAAAGTGAAGCTTCACACAGCCCCATCACCACGCTCAGGGAAGCGAGAGCAGGCATTCTGGAAAGGTATCAGTGCTCGCTACAGGATTTTTGAGTTAAATCAGGTTTTATGTCTATGGCAAACAAGGCCCCAAATCTTCCATAAAACTACCGCCCAGGCAGCACCGCCTCTCCCCCTCCCAGTCGGATCTCCGCTGTGGTGTGCCTGCCACTCACAGAAAGAATGACTGGCAGGGACAAACCAGCCGTCGGCAACAGCCACTCGTCTGGGTTCTGCTGAGACCAGAGCTGCGTCCCAAGCATCCTAGGGAACAGGAAACTGGCCAGAAGTTCAGGCTCCTCCTTGGCACGTGCACAAAAGCATGGCCTCACATCCTGAGCAGACGCTCTGACCACCTGCCAGGGCCTGGTGTGCACAAATGCGCGGCCACGCTCGGTGCCCACCACCCACCACCCAGCCCCAGCCCCAGCCCCAGCTGAGCAGCTCCATTTCTGGAGCCTGCTAGCCTGGGAAGTTGGGGTGCACAGCCCTTGGGGAATTCGGGGGCAGTGAGCAGAGCCCTCTGGGAAGAGATGCGCCTCTCCTCGCCCCTCTCGTTTGTTCCCCCCGCCACCCTCCACAGGCTGACAGTTCCCGTGTCCCTCTACAGGTCTGACATGTTTCCATGGCAACCGGAATCCTGGGCTCCGGCAGCCTCCGCTCTTGCCACCTGTTATGACTTCATCTCTCAAGTGTAAAGCATGCTAGCCCCGTGCCACTTGGCTGTGCAGAGCGCATCTTCAGAGGACGACGGAGGGAAGGAAAGGGGAGAGGAAAGGAGGGAAAGCAGACAGGCAGCCCAGGCCGGCCAGGCGGGACGTGCTGGCTAGGCCAGTCCAGAGGAGGAAGCTTGGGGGCCGGAGATGAGAGGGTGGGGAGTAAGGGTGGACCCCGACGTGCCTTCCCTGCAGAATCAGGAGCAAGCCTCAGCTGGAGGCCACTGCCACAGCCTGCTACCTCGGCCTAGCCTTTAATGAGGGCTGCGGGAGGAGGGAGAGGCGGGCTGGGGAGACAAGGCGCCTGCGAGGAGCTCCGGCAGGCCCAGCGTGAAGCAGAGCCAGGAGAGGGTTAAAAGTGGCGTGATAGAGACTGTGGGGAAGGCTGGACCAGAGGGCAAAGGGAGCATCAAAGCCGGGATAAATGGCCTTAATTCTCATGCTCCCACTCGCTGGTCGTGTTTACTCATATAAATTATCCCCCAGGCCTGACACCTTTTTTCACTGCTTCCCTAGAACTGATGAAAAAATAAATCCCACAGATCCCAGGAATAAAAAGTGTGGGGCTTTCATTCAGGCTGGTTCTCCTTGGCCACTAATAGCAACTCAGGTCCCGCCCCAGGGCTCCAGGAGGAAGACAAAGGAAGGCTTCATCCCAAATGTGGAGGGGCAGGGGGCCTGGAAGCCTGGCGGGGAAGCAGACAGTAGGGCCCGCTCCCCACAGGACCCTCCAATCGTCAGAGCCCTCGACGGCAGAGAACTCGCTCTCCCCACAGGCCATCTTGCCACCAGCTCTGAGGACACCGTGAATATATGGGAAAGTAAAGGGGACTACGCTGGAGCGGATGCGGAAGGCGCTGAGGCCAGGGCTGCTGTCATGAGTCCTCACATTTATGGATGGGGCTGATAAACTGTCACACTCCGCACCGTCAAGGACAAGGTGAGAAGATGAGCTGGAATGGCAGCACATGCCACAGGAGAGCTGGAAAGGCAGGTGGCTAACAACGAAAGCCATGGCCAGAGGGCGGGCTTCTCTGGAGAGGCCTCTGCACACAGGGAAGGGCCCCTAGGCCCGGGGTTTTGACTGCGTTGCCGATCTAGAGGCAAGAGAACACGCTAGGTGATGTCCTGAGGTCCCTTTCAGGCCTATTATTCAAGCATTATAATCAGGTGAAGAAAGAGACAGAAAAGCCAAGTTTTCCACACCCAGAGGAACCCAGCCTTTCATCACTGTTCTATACTCATGTAAATGCCTCTTTGCCTGTTACCCATGTGCTACCTGAGGGCACATGAGTAACACCTGAGGGCAGGAACCATGTCCTTCACTGCGGTATCCCTGGCCCCTGGCCAGCAGTGAGTGACACAGAGCTGACAATCAATGCTGAGTGAAAGGATGGACAAATCATCACAGAGGCTTTTTGAGGGGAAAAAAAATCTGCCAGGCAAAGGGAAGTTAATGACTAGGAATTGAGTGGACGGAGAGTCCCCCGAGCACAGGGTGACCATCCTAAGTCCCTCTTATATCGGGGCACAGAAGAAGTGGGAAGGAGAAATATTGGAGCCCCTTGGAGAGAAGAAAGCTGTGGTGTGGAAAGCCACTGCATCTACCTCCCCCAGGAATCCTCTCTCTTAGGCATTTCTTAGTCAACCAGAATGGAAGGCATCAAGAATCCCCAGGCTCAGCTGGCCCCAGAGTCTTGAGACTCATTCTGTCTCTCACCAGGGACTCAGCAGGAGCCAGTGAGAACAGAGGCCCCATCTTGCTGCGTGTTTTGGTGACTGTAGAAATAATATAAATATTTCAAAATGTGGCGTCAACCCTCCACCCTTCCTATGCCTGCCTTCTTTTCCTCCATCTTTATCCAATACTTACATCTTTAGATACAAACCTGGTGAATATTTACTCCCAAAAACTGTGCCATAAAAGCAGAAAACATATCCACTCACACTGATGTCTCCATCCTGAGATGGATATATTTGGTGAGAGTTGTAATTTGCGGTTTGCCAAAAGGCCACAACAATTTGCCAGCAGTGTGTGCACCATGTCACCAGCTCTGGGGCTAGATGGTCACACGGCCCCCAAGGAATGTCCTTTGTGCTCCAGCTTTAGGTGGGCAACCCTAGGTCTGCCATTAATGCTTCGGAATAGTAAGAAAAAGACCAAGTAAAGCTTAGGAATGGGTCGGATATGCTGGCTCACGCCTGTAATCCCAGCACTTTGGGAGGCCAAGGCAGGTGGATCATGAGGTCAGGAGTTCAAGACCAGCCTGGCCAACATGGCAAAAACCTCATCTCTACTAAAAATACAAAAATTAGCCAGGTGTGGTGGCACACACCTGTAATCCCAGCTATTCGGGAGGCTGAGGAAGGAGAATCACTTGAACCTGGGAGGCAGAGGTTGCAGTGAGCCAAGATTGTGCCACTGCACTCCAGGCTGGGCAACAAGAGTAAGACTCTGTCTCAAGAAAAAAAAAAAAAAAAAAAGCTTAGGAATGTTCTCAGTGTTCATGACACTGAGATGAATATCTCATTACGTGACACGTAATGAGATATTTCAGTTTTCCAGTGTTTGGTGATATGGGTCAGTTCATGCCCTGGTGTGGCAACTTGTGATTGCTACCAAATGAGTTTGTTGAAGGAGAAAATGTTAATTTGAGAGCAACTATATCAACCAGGCTCTGAACAAAGTGATGTCACTCCCCTTAATGAATTCCAGACAGCTTGGTGTGTTAGAGCTGGATGAGTTTTGTCTGTTTAAGTTGTCGGGATATTATTATCGACATAATTAGGATTCAACAAGCCCCTTGTTTTGCTTTGCCCAGCCGTGCCCTCTCAACCCTCTTCACTAGCACCACTGAACTCTGTCTGCAAGGGGACCAGCATTTTCTTTGTTCTTCAGACAGAAAGCCGTATTTAAGAAAAGGGAAAGCATGAGCCTTCTGCTTTAGACCTGAGGATTTGGAAGGAATCAAGAGACCACAGAGTCTTGGGGCAGCACAGCCTGAGGATGGTGGCACACGCAGGGGCGCACTCCAAAAGCAGGCCGGGAAGTTGGTGCTGAGAGTCAGAGACGTCTGCCCTACATGGGATAGAGCATTAGGAAAAGAGCAAAAACCAAGGCTGCCCCTTCAATTTGACAGTACAACCTAACTCCTGGCCAGTTACCTGGCTCAGTGCATCCAAAAGAAAAAAGGAATTAAAAGGAAGTTGACTGACTGAACATCAGTCTTGGAAAGCTAGATTTCTGTAAGGTAGTGGTTTACCTGGGAACTTGTCAAAAATGCAAATTCCCAGTCAGGCACAGTGGCTCATGCCTGTAATCCCAGAATTTTGGGAGGCCAAGGCAGGTGGATCACTTGAGGTCGGGAGTTCGAGACCAGCCTGGCTAACATAGCAAAACCCCGCCTCTACTAAAAATACAAAAATTAGCTGGGTGTGGTGGTGCACACCTGTAATCCCAGCTACTCAGGAGGCTGAGGCAAGAGAATCACTTGAACCCAGGAGGTGGAGGTTGCAGTGAGCCGAGATCGCACCACTGCACTCCAGCCTGGGTGACAGAACAAGACCCCATCTCAAAAAAAAAAAAAAAAAAAGCAAATTCCAGGGCCTGAATTGCTGAATCAGAAACTCTGGGGGTGGGATCCAGTGGGTGGGCTGTGCTTTAACAAATGCTCCAGGTGATTCTGATGCAGCCTCAAGCTTGAGAAACATGGCTTTAATTGGTGTGACAGTCATGTCACCCGGAAGTCATTCACTTAATCTTCATCATAGCCTATGAGATAGATGCCATTAATGATCTGATGTTACATAGTGATCCATGAGGCATATGGAGGCTATGCAGCTCAGCTAAGGTCACACGTTAGTCAGTGGCTCACTTGGCTCTGAACCCAAGCAACCGCGCACCTGAGGGGAGGTGAGTCGGAGAGGTGGACACGCAGGGCCTCACAGGCTAGGGCTTCCCAGATTTTGCTGTGCAAATCATTTGGGGATCTCATTAACAATCAGGTTGGAATTCATAGATCCAGGGTACAGCCTGAGATTCTACATGTCTTAAAAGCTCCCCTGGTAGGGTGGCCACGCATCCAGGTTTGACTGGGACAGAGGGTTCTAGGGCGTGGGGCTTTCAGTGCTGTAGCTGGGCAAACCTGGACAAGCTGTCACCAAGCCCCAGGTGCTTCTGACCACACTGTCAGATGCAAAACACAGACCCACAAGATGAGGAGTTTGGGTTGTATTCAAACGTGATGAAAGTGTTGAGAGCATGAGAGTGACATCATCTGCTTTATATTTTACATATATATATATTTTCTTAGAAACAAGATCTCTCTCTGTCTCCCAGACTGGAGTGCAGTGGCACAATCATGGCTTACTGCAACCTCAACCTCCTGGCTTCAAGCAACCCTCCCACCTCAGCCTCCCGAGTAGCTGGGATTATAGGCATGCACCACCACACCTGGCTAATTTTTGTATTTTTAGTAGAGATGGGGCTTCACCATGTTGACCAGGCTGGACTCGAACTCCTGAGCTCAAGAAATCTGCTCAGCTCAGCCTCCCAAACTGCTGGGATTACAGGTATGAGCCACAGCCTGCTTTAGAGGCTGGGAGACCAATCAAAAAAGTTTTAACAACCCAGGCAGAAGCCAGGGGTGGCCAGAAGATAGAGAGAGGGAGAAAATGTAGGGTATATTTTGGAAGACTGAAGGAAAACCAAGAGGCAAGGATGAATCCTAATATTTCACTTCAGGCTCAAGCTTTTTTTTTTAAAAGAGCAAGTTTAGAAGAAAAAAAAAATGAGAGCCAGGAAAGACAGTGAGACACAGAATGAGAGAGAAAGACTCAGGAAAATTATTGAATAGAATGATGTGTGATTTTTTTTTCTGTAGGAAAAAAACTCATTTACCAATTAAAGTATGACCTAGAATTTGTAATGCAGGGGTGGGGTCTCTAAAACATCCCAAACAGCCTAAGTTAGTAAAGAGCTTTGAAGAGTAAATGTGCCTACTATGGACTGAAGTGTGTCCCTCATCCCCAAAATTCATATGTCAGAGTCCTAACCCCCAAAGGGATGTTATTTGGAAAAGGGTCTTTGGAAGGCAATTAGGTTCAGTGGGGTCATGAGGGTGGGGTCCTCGTAATGAAATTAGTGCCCTTATTAGACACCAAAGAGCTTGTTTCTCTCTCTCCACCCGTACACACCAAAGAAAGGCCATGTGAGGACACAATGAGAAAGCAGCTATCTGCAATCCAAGGAGAGAGCCCTCACCACACTCTGACCCTACCAGAACCTTGATCTTGGACTTCCAGTCTCCAGAATTGTGAGAAATAAATTCCGGTTGTTTAAGCCACCCAGTCGATGGAATTTTGTTAAGACAGTGCCTATTAACATGTTCATCTCTTTTGAAAAGCCACAATGCAGCATGATGCATTAGACAACTGGTCTTGAGGCAAAAGTTAAGGGACATCGGTAGGACCATGACAAAGATCCAAGCCTTGGGACTAGGGCCCATCACTCAGGGTTCCAAAGTCCTGACATAACTGAATGGTATCCAACTCAAGCCCATTCACATCTCAGCTTCCCACCTTGCTGTCTGTTACTCAACCTCTCTGAGCCTCAGTTTCCTTGTCTGTAAAATGAGAATAATAACATGTCCCTAATGGACTTATGATCATAACATGAGGTGATGTGTGTAAAATGCCTGACACTTACTAGTTGTTCCGTCATCTCTTTCCCTCTTTCCTCTTCTACGTGCAAGATAATTTTATTTCTAACAAGGCAGGAAAAATCAAAGACCTAAATAAGTAAACTCTCCCAATAAGTGGTACATGACTCATGAATTCACATTCATCCTCCCTGACCATGGATACATGACTTGGTCTTTGTGTGCCTTGCTGTCCTCTGGGGGATACAGCACCTGCCTTGCAGGGTTATTGTGAGGAATGAATGAGATACATGTGGCATGCTTAGCACCATGTCTGACACACTTAAGGAATGCAAGCAAGTACCATTGCCACTGTTGCTGTTTGGTATGTGGGTCTTTTCAATCCTGCACATTTCTAGGTAATTAGGCCCAAAATGCGAGAGAAATAAAAGAGATTCAGAGACAGCCAAGAGACACGTGGAGCCCCAATCCTAGGGCAATGGCTTGGCAAATAAAAGGGTGCCACACTTGTCTAGATTGCCCTCCACAGCTTTCTCTGGCTGGGTTTTATGACTCTGTCTTATTTCCACAATTGCACCAGAAGTTCTCCCAGGGCTGAGACCACGTTATCCCTTTCTGGAGGCCCAGTTACACTTCTCCCAACAACTGGGTGCATGTACAGTAAGTGCTTAATAAATATTCATAATGAGCCTGTTCAGAAGGATCTGTGTCCCATATCTAAGATTTAGCCAAGGATATGCCAGGGCCAGGTCAGGCTCTGATAGTTACTGCTGATGCCAATGACACCCCACAGGCAGTTAGCTTCACAGTGGTGGCAAAGTCCCATCACATGGGCTCAGATGGAACCATGATTCAGATGAGTCATCTGTGGTCACAGACATGCCTGTGGGCCCAAATGGGACAGAGATGGGACATTAGTGCTCACAGGCATGGTGCCAAACATTCACATTATCTCATTTAAGACTCACAGCAATCCCATGAAGTCAGGAGGATTATTACCCCCGTTTTATAGATGAGGCAACTAAGAAGCAGAAGTGTAGGTAAGTGGCCCACATTTGTACCACTGGAAGATGGCAGATTGCCAGGGTCACCATTCACACCCTGGACTGACCAACTCCACAGCCATTCCCTCAGCCACAGGGTCAAGGATGTAGATGACCTTTGAGGCCAGAAAATGAGCCCCAAGTATCCCCTGCAAGGACCAGAGCAACTCTATGGATTCTTTGCTATATAATCTGAAAACTGTCTAGTTAAATAATAATTTCTCTAAAGAACACCTGTTACTAGTTTCCAAATTTACTCTTTGAGAAGGAAGAAGCAGCCCAATTTCCCAGAAAGAGCTCTGTATCTAAACTTTCCTCTGTCTCCCCTAATAACAAAGGCTGGATTTCTGGTGTCAAGTTTAGGTACGCAGTTGGCTGTGTAGGCTTTATGGCTTTTCAGTCACCTTTCAGAGTAATCTAAAATTTCTAAGCTTGTTTCAAAGGTAATTTTCACTCTATCTCTTAAAGCTTTTGGCCGCCCTCAAGCCATATGTTAGAGGACAAGAGATGTCAGAAGACTAACATCTGTTAGATCTTTCCCAACAGTGTGGCAATGACATCATATGCTTCTTTTAGATAATTTGCACATTATCAGACTAATTTTCAGATTATCTAATCAGCAGACATTACCCTTAATCAACTTGGTTCTCCCCTTTCAGCTCTGCAGAGTACAACATGCCCTCCAAAGGCGTGCTAGAGCTGGGGCTCTTTTTTCTCTCAACAGAGGTGAAAAGCCTAACTTTGCACCAGGCATACCACCCTTGCACAAAAGGCTGAGACCTCCAGGAACCTAGAAGAACCCATCTTCAATTCCACAGACTTGAAAAATCAGCTGGAAATACATTTTATAGACTCATATTTTTTTAAATTTCCCTCTTAGGAGCTCTGAGTATGCTATAGAGAGTATGTTATATTTACTTATGCTATTAAATAAAAGAGATACAACATATAACAATAAGACTCCAAACAGATGTTTTTTAAGTTATTTGTTTTTGCCTTCTAGTAATTGCTACTCTGGCTTCCCACTGTCTATAGGAATAAAGACTACACAGAGGGGCATAGAAGACGCTTCCCACTGTGGCCCCTGATTACATTTCCATCTTTCCTCTGCATCCCCTAAATCCAACATTACTATCAGACCCAAAGACTTCCAATTGTCTGAATGTGCCATGCTATCTCATACCTGCCTGCCTTCATGTACAGTTCCCTCTACCTGGGAAGCCCTCTCCCTCCTAAGAAATTCCTTCTCATTCTCCAATGGCTAACTTGAATGTCACCTCTTCGGTGAAGCCTTTGCAAACCCCCTAATGCAGTAGTCCTAAAGCTTGAGTATGCACCAGAATGCCCTGGAGAGCTTTGTAAGACCCAGACTGCTGGCCCCCATCCTTGGAGTCTCTGTTTCAGGACATCCAGTAGAACCTGAGAATCTACATTTTCAACAAGGTCCCAAGGGATGCTAATGCCACACTTGGAATACCACTGCCCTAAGGCATAGAAAGTACCCTGTGCCCTTGAGTCCTGAACTCCCTCACGGTTCTGTACACACCCCATTGCACACTCCCACTCAAGACTGTGAGCTCAAAGACAGGGCTGAGTCCTATTTATGCCTGTCCTCCCTAGTCCCAGCATATAGACAATATTCAATACATGGTTATTACATGGATGGGTGGATGGATAGATGGACAGATGAGATGGATGATGGATGGATGGATGGATGGATGGATGGATGGATGGATGGGTGGGTGGGTGGGTGTGTGGGTGGATGGATGGATGGATGGATGGGATGGATGGATGGGTGGATGGGTGGGTGGATGAGTGGGTGGGTGGGTGGGTGGATGGATGGGTGGGTGGGTGGGTGGGTGGGTGGGTGGATGGATCGATGACGTATACACGGATGGATGGATGCATGGATGGATTAGACTGAATTTATTTACACAGCTTTTCATCCAGGCCCAGGACTTCATAAATGTCTATCCTCACTCTAAAAATTACCTCAAAAACATCATCTATAATCAATTCCCACTGTGCAGAGAAGGTAAAAAGAAGTTCAAAGAGTTTAACATCACAAGCCTATGTTAAGGGGGTTTTGAATTCTAGTCCAGAGCTCTTTCTGCTACTCTACCCCACTGGGGCTCCCTACCAAGGCTGCATTTAAGTAGTCACAATGGTATGCTTCTGAGTGTATCTTTCAGAGTCCTATCCTCCCCAGCTGCCCTCCCTTCATTCATGTATGTGTACATCTATGTGTAGGTGTATGTGTGTGTACATATGCATGTGCACACACACAGTCATTTATTTCATTTGCAAAAAGTAGGTGAAGGTGGTAAAAGAAATGGAGGCCGAAGAGGCACCCAGCCTCATGCAGGGAGAGGGTGGGATGCAGCCCACATGCAGAGGACCCCATCAGAAAAGCACTATTTCCCAGAGGGGAGTGTTTGAGCTCCAAGCATCCCTGGCTTCCTGTAGTTGAGGCAGAGAGGCAAGGGCACACAGGAAAGGGGACAAACGTACAGGAAACACAAGAAATGTATACTCAGGAGAAAATGAGAGACTGAGGGAGAAACAAAGGCGTGAGAGCATCAGCTTGGGGGCCAGGCGATCAGGAGTGGCAGTGGATTGCTGAGCTTGCAGCACAGGGCAGCATGGGCGGGGGCGGGGAAGGTCAGCGCCGGCTCCAGCAGTCCACTCTGCCCTTTCAGCAGCAGCACCAGGCGCGGGATGAGCCATGGGCTCTGCTGAAGACAAAGCTGGGGGGCGATAGAGCAAGCGACAGCAGGAGGACCAAAGTCAAAAGGTCGCTACTGCTGCAGGTGGTGCAAACCCAGCTGCCCTTGGCCCTGCAAACCCTGTGTCTGTAAGGCTGTTTTTCCATTAGGCCTCCGCTCACATGCAGCTTGGGTCACCCTGCAGCTCTGCTAAAGGGGGAAAAAGTCAGCATTTCCACTTCACTGGTGTCCAGACCTTCTCCTGGGGGAGCCGCAGATTAGCCTCTTGGATTAAGCTCTCCTACCTGCCCCTCCCCTCCAAAAGCCTCACCAAGGGAGGATCACGAAGCTGAGACCTTAGGATGCTGCCGAGCTGTCACTTCCAATTCAGCACACAGCCCCAGTAGCATTTAGGGGCAGGATGGATGGGAGCCACCCCCTATCCCCAAACAGTGGGAGCAGCTAATGACTAGGTATTAATGATGCTGGCAATTAGTGCTCACAAGAAAATAGTCGGGGGGCTGCTCACCAGGGGAATGTGGGAGGGAGCAGAGCACACATTCGGGGCGGCGAGCAAGTCAGCGGCGTGTGTGGTGCAGAGAACCTGGGACGACCAGCTGCCTCATGGGTTTGTCCAGAGAAATTGGGGGTGGGGGAAAGGATGTTTTCTGCAGGCACTAAAAGCCTTTCTGCTGTACCCTCCCCACTAGCAAAACTGGGTTAATCACAGAGTTTTCGAGGAGGGCACTGTGAGATGTCACTAAAAAGGTGTTTGTGAGGATTCTGGAACCTTCTTCGTGTGGGGAGGCCCCGGATCCGCCTGGGAATACCTATTATTTTCTAGGAGGTTTTAAACCCTTGGCCAGGCAAATGATCCTTTTTGAAGAGCCCACTTTCTCATCAGCAGGGTGAGAAAGAGAAAAAGGGGAGGGGGAGTTGGAGTGTGTGCCACTCACTGACAAGCCCACAGAGGTGAGAACAAGCCACCCATGAAATTTCGTAGGCAGACGTCTCCACATCTCCACGTAGGGCGAGGGGAGACAGGCACAGCTTCTTTCCCAAGCAAGGCTGTGTGGCCTCAAGGGGAGAACACTAGAAGGCCAAACACACCCGCCCACGAGGGCTCGTGAGAAGATCCACACCCGAGTGCTTGTCTCAGAAGTCAACCAACCCTGAGGGGACCACAGGGATCACTGGGGAGACTGCCTCCTTCTACTTCGGGTCTGCAGCACACCTCCCCGTGCAGCCACAAACACCAAGCACATGGACGGACACATATGCACATGTGCACACACGCATGCACACATATACAAAAACACACACACACGCAGGTACACACACAATACACATGCACACAAACAAGCACACACATGCACAAACAACACGCACACACATGCACGCACACACACAACGTACATACACAACACGTATACACACGCACACACAACATGCACGCACACACACACACATACACGCACACACACGCATAGACACACACACACCCGGCTCATAATGAGGCTACAGGAGAACCAAGGAAAATGAGACACAGACAGACAAGAAGCATTCCAAACCCCAGGGCATGAATAAAGGAACAAAATGGCCTGACATTTGAGAAGAGATATAAGGAGATAAGCTAGCACAGGGGAGTGAGAAATAAGGTTACCAAGCTAATAAACACTTTAGAGAGCGCGACAATGGCGAAGAAACACTTTTCAGGGAGCAACCAAAATCAAAGGAGATTCTTCTCAGCCTCCTCATGGTGGGAGACAACAGCTCCGTGTGACCTCTTGGTCACTTAGACCAGGGAAAAGAGGAGAGAAAGGGAAATGCAAGTATTGGCTGCCTCAGTACAGGTCAGTATCTTTTCCTTTTTGAAAGACAAGGGTGACTGGACCAAGGAAAGCTCTTCCCAGAGAGAAGACCTCAGTGTTGGAGCTCCTCAGGCCCTGGCAAGGAGAGGCGGGCAAGGCTCGGGGGGCACCTCCTGCTCTGCTGTTCAGGTTCTGTCCAGGTGACAACAGCAGGTGAGAAAGCAAGGGTCTGTCGCACTAAAGGCTTGCACCTTGGAAGTGAGCAAAAATTCAAGAAGGTGCTGAAGGCTGAATTGCATCCCCTCCCCACTCCCAAATTCCTATGTTGAAAGCGTAACCCATGGTACCTCATACTGTGACTTGGTTTGGAAGTAGGGTCCTCAAAGAGGCATTTAAAGAGGTAAAGTTAAAATGGGCTTGTCAGGATAGACCCTAATATCCAATCTGACAGGTGTCCTTACAAGAAGAGGAAATGGGCTGGGCGTGGTGGCTCACACCTATAATCCCAGCCCTTTGGGAAGCCAAGGCAGGCGGATCACGAGGTCAAGAGATCGAGACCATCCTGGCCAACGTGGTGAAACCCTGTCTCTACTAAAAATACAAAAATTAGCTGGGGGTGGTGATGAGTGCCTATAGTCCCAACTGCTTGGGAGGCTGAGGCAGGAGAATCGCTTGAACCTGGAAGGCAGAGGTTGCAGTGAGCCAAGATCACGCCACTGTACTCCAGCCTGGCGACAGAGAAAGACTCCGTCTCAGAAAAAAAAAAAAGAAGAAGAGGAAATGTGGACACAAAAGCAGATGCCACAGCACGCATGCACAGAGGGATAACTGTGCGAGCGGACAGGAGAAGGCAGCATCTGCAAGTCAAGGAGAGGAAACCAACCCTGCCAGCACCGTGACCTTGGACCTCCAGCCTCCAGAACTGTGAGAAAATTAATTTCTGTGGTTTAAGCCACCCCATCTGTGGGGTTTTCTTATGAGAACCCTAGCAAACCCATAAAGAAGGCAATATTACGAGGGGAAAGTGGGGTGGAGGTTAAGGGAGACCCCACACTAATCTGAAGAATGGTCTTGGCCACAGGTGTGTTCTTTATTTCAAATCTTTGGTGAAAGTGGCCAGTGGACATCAGTTGACTAAGTCGTTGGCTAACACGCATCCTCTAATCCTAGAGTCTGAATATTTTAAACGTCTGATCCCTTTCACTGCATTGAGTTGTTCACTTTCAGAACACCTACCACCAAATCTTCTGAACAAAATGAAAAACACATGGCCTGTCCACGAATATTCTTCACTGAGAGATCTCAGTGTGGCCCACATCTTCAAGCAGGCTCTAAAGATTCCATTATCCCATTTCCATGTTGAGATTTCTGCAGGCCCAGAGACCATAAGGGATGTTCTAGAGGAAAGTCAAATGGAAAATGCTAAGCCCCTTTGGATTCCCTAATTCATAATTGGAAGTTGAGGTAAGAAAGCAGAGAAACGGAAACACAAAATCTTCAGGATCATTTTGGGTCTTGAGAGCCCAACATCCCAAACGACAAATCCACCCAGATCACATTTGCCATTTGAATGCTGAAGCAAAGAACATGGGGTCTCCAGGCAGCATTTCTAAGGCAGGAGAGCCCTGTACCAAAATGTGATCCCCTCCCCTCTACAACAAAACCACAGCAATAGATAAGAATATTCTAAGGCACTTCGTAGCCAAGCAGGCATTTCGAATGTGTGTCTGAACTGACACACCTATTACCTATGCCCAACCCAGTCTGAGTGGCTGGCTCTTCAGGAGTGAGGGAAAAGAGTTGTAGGTCTGGCATCTGACAGTGGCCAGGTAAGGACTTTCTCTTCTGCTTAACACTCACCTTCCTTCCTCTGGGAGCAGAGCAGGGTGTGTGAGCCCAGCCCTGCTATTGCTAAGCCTAGGGTTGGGCTGAGCTGCAGGGGCAGCTGGCTGGCTGGCTGAAAGGGCCAACACACTACAGCACATTGAGACCACTCAACGGTTGCTACCAGAAGATGCCAGCAGTGAGAAAAAGGAACAAGGAACGCTCCCCAGCCTGTCTAACCCACTTCTTCACTGCCCCAACCTAACAAGTAGGCACTCACGCCTGTGGTTCTCATTTCTGTGGTTGGGTGGGGACCGAGTCTCCTGGTCTTGAGCTTCATCCCCCTCCTCGCTGGCCAGGTGAGTGTGAGCATAGTGGTAGCTGAGCCCCGGTCGGTTCTTGTAGCGCTTGCCACAGACTAGAGAGGAAAAGAGGAAAAAAGGGAGAGATACAAATATTAGCAACCTGTGCAGCCACCGCTATCATTCTCCCAGACAGTGATCCCATCCATCCACCCCAGAGCCAGGCTTCCCTTAAAACTGTCTCCCATCCCAACATCCCTTTCCCCCACCCAACAGAACCAACACCCTTGTAACAACTCAGGTCATGGAAAGAAAAACTGTAAAAGTAAAATATGAGGTTAAGAGCTGTGTGAGCACTCCACCGTTTCTAGCTGTGAGACCCAGGGCAAGTCACTTGACCTCTCTGTGCCTCAGTTTCTTCCGAGATAAAATGGGAACAATAACAGTACTTACCTCACAGGGTCATTGTGATAAGTTTATCTCTATGCAAAGTACTTAAAACAATATCAGGCACTTTGTGAGGGTAATTGTTATGACGTTGAATTCAAAGGGCACTGGGAATCTACCCAATCCAACATCCCATGACACAGATGAGGCAAGTGAGACCCAGCAACACCAAGTGACTTGCCCAGGAGCACACAACTAGTGTGGCAGAGCCACCAGAACCCATGTCTCCTGGGTTCCTGTGCACTGTCCCTTCCACCACCCCATGGTTGGCCTCTGCAAGAAGTAGAAAAGTTTTATCTGGATAATCCTTTTGATGTCTCACCCAGCGATTTTGTGCCAGAAACACATGCTGCACTTCTACCATGAACGCCATGGAGTTAAAGCATCCTTGGTGAGTGTAGTCACCAAGAGCTTGTGCCCCTGATGCCCCAGGGCAGCCAAATCTGTAAAAGGTGCTCTCACAAGTACTACCTCTCAAATGGGGCAGTTTGAGCCAAGGGCAGCGAGCAATCGAAATGTGCCTTCTTGGAGCCAGGAAGAAAGGGCAGCAGTTCTGTTGGTTAGATGCTCAGTTCCTGGGAAGCAGAAGTCTGGCTAAATGGCTCAAGGTCACACTACCACCCTCAACCTCCCCACATAGGGATCATTATCTCGGCCCCTAGGGGGACGGCATTGCTGGTAGCAGAAACCTCGAGAGTCTTCCCAGTGAAATGTCCATGCCAACCTTCTATGCTTGTCCCCCAGCCTGGGTCCCCATCAGAGCAAACCAACCTGCTCTCTGCTGGAGTGCCTGAAAGTTACAAATTCTAAAAGACTTCTCCCTTGTGCTGACATGACCACGTCATACAAGGAAGCATAAATGCTTCACAAGGTGGGAAGAGCACAACTTTAGCATCAGGCCTGGGTTCAAATCCCAGTTCCAGCTGCTGAGGTTCACTGGCTGTGTGGTCCTGAGAGTATACAGAAGTGCTGTCATCCAGTCATCTTATCCAATACCCTTATTACTTCTGATAGAGTTTCTCTTCCTACCAGATTCTCTTGGGGTTTTTCAGTAGACAAACATTGGCCAAAATAATGTCACCTCTTCTTCCCCATATTTACATAAACTATTTTATCTTAGCTTAGATCATTTGTAAGAACCACCAAAACAATATCTTCAAATGGCAAAAGCAAGCATTTCCAATGTTAATGAAGGTGGATTTAGTGTTTCACTGTTTAGAACGATGTATCTGGCTAATTTTTAGTCTTTACCAAATTTAAGTAGTTCTTCTTATTCCTGCTATAGAGTTTTATTATAGGAGAATTTTATCAACTACCCTTTCAGCATCTACTATAATATGATTCTCCTTTAGTTGGTTGATAAGGTAAATTACGTTGATTTCCTAATATTTCCTATTATTGAACCATTCTTGCATTCCTAGAATGCACTCCATTTGGTCAGAGTATATTATTTATTTGATATACTGCTGCATTCTGCTTTCTAATACTGCATCTTGAATCTGTACTAAGACTTGAGCTCAATCTATAATTTTTGGACTATCTTTTATTAGGTTTCAATTTTATGGTGATGTTGATTTCTAAAAATTAACTGAAGAGTTTTGCTGCATGAAATTGGACAAGCTGCAGCTCTGTGCCTTTTCTTTTATCTGAAAATGAGGATAACAGTACTTATCTTGCAGGATGGGTAAAGGTATTATAAATAGCATTTGCAAGCAGCTCTCTCAATACCCAGCACATAATAGATGTTCAATAAATGGTAAATGAGGGGCAAGGGCTGTCAGCATTTTTTGCTGCATCTTAGGTACTGGATCTTCCTGAAAAGAGGGACTTTGACCCTTG
Source organism: Homo sapiens (assembly GCF_000001405.40). Classification (NCBI taxonomy): domain Eukaryota; kingdom Metazoa; phylum Chordata; class Mammalia; order Primates; family Hominidae; genus Homo; species Homo sapiens. The sequence goes on from NC_000014.9 coordinate 72,695,384, forward strand.
CCTCATATTATAAAATCTGGCAACTGGTTGGACTTCTTTGTTAAGGTAAGATGAGAGTCTGAAATTCAAGTTGGTGACCCAGTGACTATAAATTCAAGGCCCAATGTTTAGCTCCCACTTATAAGTAGAACATATGGTATTTGATTTTCTGTTTCTGCATTAATTCACTTAGGATAATGGCCTCCAGCTGCATCCATGTTGCAAAGGACATGATTTTGTTCTTTTTATGGCTGTGTAATATTCCACGGAATATCCTGAACACTGGGTACACACAGACGTAAAGATGGAAACAACAGATGCTGGGGACTCCAAAAGGGGGAAGGGAAGGAAGAGGGCAAGGCTTGAAAACCTACCTATTGGGTACTATGTTCACTAATTGGATGATGGGTTTAATAGAAGCCCAAACCTTAGCATTATGTAATATATGCATGTAACAAACCTGAATCTAAAAAAATAAAAAATTAAAATAAATAGGCCTATCATTGGCTACTTACATTCATATATTCTCTCTTCCTCTCTCTCATAAATATTGTAAAAAAAATAAAATTAAAATAAAATAAAATAGTGCTATGCATCTTAATTCCATGTGACTCAGGAAGCTGGACCCAAAGAGGCCCCTGAGGTGCACTCTGGATCTGCTTGTGGCTTTTTCTATTTAGCTTTTTAGATAATCTGAAGTTAATACACAGCAAATTATGGGGTCATTGCATATAAATCCATTTAGTTGCCAGGCATACTGTTAGTAAGGAATAAATGCTTATTAAAAGTAATGATAATGATATCAGTATTTACACAAAGAGGCCTCAGCCACCTCTGCAGATCCCCAGTATAAACTCACAGCATTTCACTTGTGCCATTTTGTTATGTCAATCATCACTGTTGCTTAATCACACAATTTCAGGATCTTAATGGTCATTTTGTCTATCTAGAGAAGTGTTTTATTCCCAATAACTCTAGAAGGCTGTTCTGGACAACTCCATTGATAGGGAACTCACTACCAGTCAAAGCAGGCATTTCTCCTTTAGACTCCTTGAATTATGGCTATGTCTGCACTATGTCTCTTAAGGACAGTTTCATATCAATTTCATCTTGATATCAACAACTCCACCTTATATGTTGACATATACATACTACGCCTTCAAAACATATTTGTTGAGTGGCTCATGAATGAATACAGAACCATTTTGTGGGAAGGCCAGGAGATGGGCGAAGAGGCAAATTGCAGAATCTAATCCTTCTACCCACATTAAGCTCAGACTAATTGTTCTTAAAAGTCTACAAAACCAAACCTAAGCAAAAAGCTCCCTCTATCTCCTTCCCCAACATGGTAGAAAGTAATAATGTTTAGAGCAAATCCTTTTGCTAGAACAGAGATTCTCAAACAGTGGTCCCCAGACCAGCACCATCCACATCTCCTGGCAACCTGTTAGAGATGCAAACTCTTGGGCTCCACCCCAGACTGACTGAATCAGAAACTCTGGGGGTGGGGCCCAGTGATCTAGATTTTTAAAAGCCCTCTAGGTGATTCTGATGCACACTAAAGTTTGAGAACCACTGGGCTAGAAGGCTGGATCTATTTAGGCTTGGCTCCACCAACCCTATGTCCACATGCCCTTCTTGATGGATGGCCGTAGCAGGCAGGGGCAGGATAGGCAGCCTTGAGACCTTTGTTCAGTTATTAGCAGTTATTAGCAGAATCAGGACCAGACAATACATGGAGGTCCCAGAAGCCAGACTTCTTCATGAAGAGCCCTCTGGATGGAGCTCCATTTTTAACCGGGTATTTGTACCATGTCATTCTTCTATCACCAGGTCTTCAATTCAAGAAATATTTATTAGACACCTAATATGTGCCCCACCCTGTGCCACAAGAAGGACAAAAATGAACAAGCCCCAGACCCCTCCATGGAGGAGGTCGCAGTCTAGCAGAGATCTGCATGTAAACAAGCCAGGGGGAGGTGGGTTGGATACAGGGTGAGACCGTGCCAGGCAAAGAGGGACATCAAAGAGGGGACAGGAAACTGGCTTGAGTGAGTAGGGTAGGGCTTCCCAGAGAAGGAGCCCCTGACATGAGCAGGACTTCAGCAGGCAAAGGGGGCTCAAAGCACATGCAGTTATCACCTCTGCAAACTGCGAGAAGTCTAACAAAGTTGAAGAGGTGGAGCGGTGGGGGTGGATGTGAGGAAGACTAACAGGAGAGGAAGCTGAGCAAGGCTTTATCCTGACAATGGGGCAGCCAGGAGAGGATTCTATCCTGAGGACCAAGTTAAGCAGACTGACATGTTAGAAATACTGCTTAAGATTGTAGGGCAGAATATGGATTTGAAGGTAGCGAGGGGCTATTTCAATTGTTTACCTGTGCAACAATGAGGACTTGTGCATGGAGAGGAAAAATGGGGTGGGAGAGGGGTTAATGAGAGAACTTGGTGGAAAAGGGAGTGAGTAAGAAAGCAAGGAGGAACCCAGAAAGACTAACATGGCCTTCCTGGCCAGGCCTGACCCAGCCCCACCCACCTCTCCAGCCTCTTCTGACACCACGTTCTGCCTCCACACAGCCCTTCTGCTCGCTGGCCTTTTCGTTTATTATAGATTTCTCTTCCCACCACAGAGTCTTCACACAAGCTCTTTCCTCTGCCTAGAATGTCCCCATCCCCAATTTGCCTGATTAAGGTCTAATCATCCCTCTGATCTCAGTTCAAATGTCCTCCCCCAGGGAAGTCTTTCAAATCAAAATTACAACCTTAGTTTTTTGCCTTCCTAGGACTAATCACGTGTCAATACAGACAGTCCGCAATTTACAATGCTTTGACTTTTGATTTTTCAGCTTTACAATGGTGTGAAAGCAATACACATTCGATAGAAACCATACTTCAAGGACCTATACAGCTGTTCTGTTTTTCAGTTCAGTATTCAATAAATTACATGAGATATTCAATGCTTTATTCTAAAATAGGCTTTGTGTTAGATGATGTTGCCCAACTGTAGGCTAATGTATATTTTCAAAGTAGGCTAGGGCTGGGCATGGTGGCTTACACCTCTAATACCAGCACTTTGAGGGGCCAAGGTGGGAGGATCCCTTGTGCCCAGGAGTTGAAGACCAGCCTAGGCAACATGGTCTCTACAAAAAATACAAAAATTACAAAAAATACAAAAATTAGCCACGTGTGGTGGTGCGCACCTATAGTCCCAGCTACTCAGGAGGCTGTGGTGGGAAGATCACTTGAGCCCAGGAAGCAGAGGTTGTAGTTAGCTGAGATCACACCACGGCACTCTAGCCTGGGTGACAGAGCAAGAAAAAACATAAAATAAAAAAGTAGGCTAGGCTACACTATGGTTTAGTAGGTTTGGTAGGTTAGGTGTAAGACATGCATTTTCGACTTAGGATATTTTCAACTTATGATGGGTTTGCCAGGACATAGCACTACCATAAGTGGATGAGCATCTGTATGCATCTCTCCCACTGGCAGCAAGCATGGCAGGTCCTGTGTATCCGCAGTGCTGTGTCCCGATGACCAGCACAGGGCCTCACTTGTGGCAGGTGCTCAATGTCAGCTACGGAAAGCAAAGAGATGCACATGTTTCTGACGTGGGCAACTGGGTAGAAGGATGAAGGAGGAAAACCAGATTTAAAGAAGGAAGAAAATGAGTTGAGTTCACCTAAAGCTTGGGAAAGAGACGTAGATTTTGGAGCTGGCAGGGTGGCAATGGATGTTATAAGTATGGGGAAAAGTGTCAGGAAGAGACTGTGGAGAGAGAAAAGAGGTGCCTACACAGGATAGAACTCAGAAAACACCAGGATCTTAAGAAACTGGTGGAAAAAGAGAAACTGATTTTTTAAAAATTTGTTTAGAAAGGGTTGAGTGTGGTGGCTCATGCTTATAATCCCAGCACTTTGGGAGGCTGAGGCAGGAGGATCACTTGAGGCCAGAAGTTCAACACCCATCTGGGCAACATAGCAAGGCCCCATCTCTGCAAAAGACAATTCAAGATTAGCCAGGTGTAGTGGCATGCTCCTGTAGTCCCAGCTACTTAAGAGGCTGAGGTGGGAGGATCACTTGAGCCCAGGAGGTCGAGGGTGCAGTGAGCCATGATTGTGCCACTGCACTCCAGCCTGGGTGACAGAGATTCTGTCTCAAAAAAAAAAAAAAAAAAAAAAATTAGTAATTGTTAAGAAAAACTCACACAGGAGTGAGCAACATAAGCCAAAGGAACAGGGTTTCAAGACGACAGTAACAATGACACCACCAGTCACAGGTCCTGCCAACAGCTATTGAGTGTTTACCACGGACCAGGCCCACTCCAAGTGCTTCAAGTAAATTGACTCACAGCAACCTGCATCCCCATTTTAAAGAAAGATGAGGAGATTCTGCACCGAGGCAGAGCCACAGTAATAAATTAATCAGATGCCTGAGAAGGGTCAAGAAGGTTGGAGACTAAGAGACCACTGGATTTGGAAATTGGGAAGTTGCCTTAGCAAGAAGAGAATCCACAAAGTCGAGGAGCACAACTGCAGGGTGCTCCAAGAAATGAGGAAGTGCTGATGGGGCCAGCTGTGGGAGGAGGAAAGAGGGAGGTTGGTGGGTGGAGGGGAGCTTAGGATCAGGGCAGACCAGGGTGGAGCCTGTGTTTTACCAGCCTATTCTGACTCCCAAGTCTTAGTCCTTGGAATGATTTCATCATAGGGGCAAGAGGAAGAGTGAAGACTTCCAAGAGTTATTTTGGTTGGATTGCATCAGGATGAAACTGCTTCATCACAATGGAAAGAAACGTCTTGAAATCCTGCTTTGACTGGCTTAGAAAAGCCAGCACTGTTTCTCCTTCTGTGTTTAATCATGTCTTCCTGTCACTGCAAACACCATGGGCCAGCTTCGTGAGCCTGTGACCTGTGCTTCCAGACAGGGTCCGAGTTCAGAAAGGCCCCACACTTGGTTTAATGCCCTGCTGTTGGCATCTTGAAATTCTTAATATTTATTGAACAAGGGCCCCCGCATTTTCATTTTGCAGTGGACCCTACAAATCACGTAGCCAGTTCTAGAAGTCTGTTGGGTTCAGAGTGGAGATCTGAGACTAAGTTACTCCAAATAGCTGACCTGATAGTCTGAGAGCTGCCAAGGTGAACCCAGGTCCCAACCAGTCCTGAGTCAGGCATAAAATTCCCTTCTGAGATAATCTTGAAAGTCTGGCCAGAGTGATTAGCTGCTCAGTAGTCATCATCTCAGTGCCATCAACCACCCAGGCCTGGCTTCTAGATCGGCTCTGCCCTCAGAGAGGCAGAATCTGCAGCAGGTAAGTGGGCAGGCTGGATCTGAACTGCCTGGGTTCAAGTCCCAGCTCTGCTGTTGACTCTGTGATCTTGGGCAAGTTACTAATCCTCTCTGTGCCTCAGCATCCTCTCTGTAAAACAAGGTGGATCATGACAGCACACCTGCTCCCCGCGGTGAGACCCATATGAGAGAATGTATTTAAAACAAAGCCCAGCTCATGGGGAGTCGTGGCTGTTCTCAGCTGCTCTCATCACCACTGCTGTCAAAGTGGCCCAACAAAGAGAATAAACCCCAAAGTGGGGAGTTATTTCTCCTCTGAAGTCTGGAGTGGAATAGCAAGGAAAAGAGGGTGGGAAAAGAAACATTTTGAAAATAAAGTACTGGAACCATCTGCTCTCCTTTTATCATGTCGGCATTCTCACTCTGGAAATATCTGTCGTGCGGAATCAGCCTGAGCCCCAGGAGCGCTGAAGCAGCAGAGAGGGTCATGCCCCATCTTCCCACTCCAGTCTCCTTCCCCGGGGGCAAGCGCTTTTGCACCATGCACCTCTGAAGCCACCACCCCTGGGACCAGTCAGCCCTGCCTGTGCACGACCTAAGGTCCTTCTTTTCACCTTGGCAAGCGTGCACCTGGATTTTGTGTTCCTGGCATGGTGCACATGGAGAGCAGTGGCTGTGACAATAAGGGAGGTCCAGCTTGCCTTCTCTTTCTCCTTCCCCCTGGGGCGGATCCATCTGTCAAGGTGCAGAAGGAGTGTTTGCCCACTTCCCAATCCAGAACTGGATTCTGCATGCAGGACCTCCTGTCTGGAGTTATGGATGCCTTCAGTGCCGCTCCAAAATATTTACTGCACGCCCCCTGCCCTCCTTCAAACCTACCCCACTCCTAGTCTGGGCGGGGGTCGGGGGGAGCAGGGAGGAGGAGGAATCAGGGGCAGCTTGTGTGAACAAAGCCGCTGCAGCAGACAGCAGAATCCTTCCTGCCGGGGAGAAGCGGCTGCCTTCCCCACTGATAACTTAATGACTCTGGCACATTTTCATCAGCCCAACTTGGAGCACACAGTGGGAATCTGAGCCAGTGGTTTCCGAGAGACTGAAAGCAGTGACTGAAGGCAATTACAGGATGAGCATCCCAGAGACAAAGCCTGGGCCCTGGGAGTCACCAGCCAGTCACCAGCCACAGCTCATTCCCGGCTCTGCCCCGTGGCACTGACATACAACCCTGAGGACACCGCTTCCTTCTCTCTGCAGCTGGACTTCCTCATCTGTCACCCAGACCCCACCATGCCTGTCATCTGCCGATGCCTCCAAGGCATCACACCTACCATCAGGCAGCACCCATTCCCATGCAGAATCTCACAGCTCAGGAGGCAAGGATCCCCATTCCACAGATGAAGAAACTGAGTCTGGGGGAGTTTAAGCAATTCTCTGGATGGCACAGCCAGAGTTTGAGCCCTGGTCTGTCTGCCCTTGAAGCACGTGACTGAAAGGTGCGCTGGTGAGTCTCTGCTTGGCACTGCCTCCCTCCCCACCCACCCCAACGGCCTGGGGCTGACTGGCGTGGCCTGCTTCACCCATGCTCCCTTGCTCTCGGCAAGAAGGAGGCACCAGCAGGAGAACGGAGGGTGGGAAGAAAAACACGTGGGGACTTGGGCCCTGCCCTGCCTGGGCACTGTGCTATACAGGGGCTGTATAGGGGCCCACCTCCAAGACTCCAGTCCTGCCTGGCTCTGGGAACCCCATGTCTCCCCTGCTCCTTGGAGCTGGGGATAGGGAGGGCTTCCCGCTCTCCCTGTCAGCACCTTCATCTTGCCCACACCTTCATAATCACTCTGGCATCAAATTCCCTTCCATCCAGCCCTTCTGAGTGGAATCCCACATCCTGCCGGATACCATTTGGACACATATTCACACCCTACCAGACCGGCTCGTAGAAGTTTGGGGCCACCAACACCTCCCAACGACCCTCCATCTTCTCTCTGCAGAACCATCTGGGGGATGGAGGCATTCCTACAACCAATTCCCCCGAGCAGGGAGAAGCCCCAACTGAGAAAAGCCCTGTGTGACTCCCAGATACAAACTCAGATCGGGATAAAGCCCAGGAGGTACTTCCAAAAGCCACCTGCTCAGACTGGGTACGCAGGGTACAGTTGTTCATCCCACAGCCACTTCAACTGGCCAGGCTTTTCTCAAAAGCCAACGGTGGATCCAACCCCCAGGTGGGCTTCTCCTCCCTCCCCTGCCCTTGAAGTTCGAGGCCAGCAGACTCGGTGGCCTTCTAGAGACCGGGGGTCTGGCTCTGGGTCTGATACTAACCCGCTATGCACCCTTGGACAAATTCATACCTTTCTGGGTCTTGATTTTTCTTATCTGCAGAATATGGGGGTTGGATCAGATGATCTCTAAGTCCTTTGCATTCTAGCACTTCACAACTCTCTGTAGGTCCTGAAGCTATTATCTCCTCAACTGTGATAGGAAAATGATGAGGCTCCCAGAGGCTGGCTACATCCACCTCCCCCCACCCCACCCTGCACGATTGGCAGCTGCCGTCCCGTGGCTTCATACCTTCTTTCAGGCCACCCTTGATGCTTATTTTAAGCTGAATTCCTTTGGATGGAGACACAGGGGATTGGGGGTAGGGGTGGGGTAAAACACCCTGATTTTTCACAGCCACATTTCTTGGGGCCTGGTGGTGACCCAGGATCTATCAAACTCCAGTGACCCAAAAGTCCTGTGTCTTCATCAAGGGAGAGTGTCCTGCTTATTTTGGGAATTTACTAGATGTGAGGAAGAACAGAGACAAGCAACCAGACTCTCGTTTCAAAATATTCTATCACCTGATTTCTGGATCCTCAGCAGGGAAATGCAGAAACCCCCCAAAACCAAAGCACTCCATGTGTTATGGGAATGTTTCCTGCCCTGCTGAGAAGCCGGGTAACAGAATGCAGGTGAACTCGGGAGTCTGCCTTCTTGGGTCAGCTGATTTGCAATGTGACCTTGGGCAAGTGACTTAGTCTCTCTCAGCCTCGGTTTCCTCGTCTGTAAAACAAGGGCAATAACAGTTTGTAGCTCATGGGGGAGGTGTGAGAACTGCAGGAGTTCATCTTCTTACAATGCTCAGCCCAGTGCCTGGCACACAGCACATGTTCAACAAACATCAGCTATTTTTGATCATTCATTTAACTTGATCAGACAACTCCCTTAGATCCTGCAGCAGCTAGGGCACAGAACACAACTGGGGCCCCAGCTTAGGTGTTAAATAAGTACCTTTTCTTGATTCAGTATAAAGAAAATAAACATTTATTGAAAATATCTATGAACCAAGCAGTGAGCTAATTGTTTTTACACAATTTCTCATTGAACCCTCTTGGAAACCCACTAAGGTTAATATTATTGTCCTCACCTAACAGACCAGAAAACAAAGGCTCAAAGTGGTTTTGTGATTTGCCTGAGGTCATGGCTAGGAAGTGACCTGGTAAAGATTCAAATCCTAGCTTTCTGACTCCGGAGCCACCTTCTTCCAACTGGCATCCCTTTCAGGGTGGTGTCTTTGATTCCTGATTCTAGTGAGTCCTGCGTTAGCATGTCCTTAATGAGCTTAAATTAAGAGTGAAACTGAATTCTCTTTTCAATTGTACAATAAAAATAATTTAAATAATAAATGTCATTGTCAACATTTCTGGGGAAGGTAAAAAGAGAAAGGTCAAAAATCAGACCTGATTACCCTAAGCTGAGGCAGCCCCCAGGCATCTGGGAATCCTGCTAGCATCCTCTCTCTCAATATCTCTGTACACCTCCCATGCCAGGACATCAGTGCGGCCTCAAATGCTGAGCAGGTTTTATTTGTGAGTTCCAGGCTATCCAGTGTGATTCCCCACCCCCTGCCTGAGGTAGGCCTTCTTCCACCTACAATGTCAGTGTAAGCTCCTCAGTGCCTTAGAGGAAACAACAACTGTCCATTAGCATCTGTTAAGACGTTTCTGCCTGGATTCCTGCCATTTCCACCAACTCATATGTCAGTTTCATCACACTCCCAAAATTACTTCCCCTTTTAGGATATTCCAGTTAAGCTACCCCTTTTGTCTCAATGACCCAAGTGCAAGATGTCAAGAGTCATCACTGCCACCTCCCTCTCTCCTCTCCTGCTCTCCACATCCTGTCCATCATCTGCCGGGTTCTGTGAATTTCTCTTTCATTAAGTCTTCTTCATCTGCCCCGTCTATTTCACTGCTGCTATCACCACCATCCAGATTTCATGTCTTCTCCTAGCTGACTAGAAAAGGCTCTTCTCGGTCATCAGGCTTCAGGCTTTCCTCCCTGAACACCGAATCCTACAGATCAACCTTCCTAGAGATGTCCCTAGGATTGTCATGAATTACCACGGACCATGCAGGCCAACCTCTAAGCCAGGGGTCCCCAACCCCCCGGGCTATAGACTGACACCTGGACTGCACAGCAGGATGTGAGTGGCGGGCAGGCAAGAGAAACTTCATCTGTATTTACAGCTGCTCCTCATCACTCGCATTACCACCTGAGCTCCACCTTCTGTCTGATCAGATTAGATGTCACACTGGATTCTAACAGGAGCACAAACCCTACTGCAAACTGCACATGCAAGAGATCTAGGTTGCACACTCCTTATGAGAATCTAATGCCTGATGATCTGTCACTGTCTCCCATCACCCCCAGATGGGACCATCTAGTTGCAGGAAAACAAGCTCAGCTCAGAGCTCCCACTGACTCTACATTATGGTGAGCTGAATAATTATTTCATTATATATTACAATGTAATAATCATAGAAATAAAGGGCACAATAAGTGTAATGTGCTCAAATCATCCCAAAACCTGCCCTCCGCCCCTGGTCCGTGGAAAAATTTTCTTCCATGAGTCCCTGGTGCCAAAAAACTTGGGTACTGTGGCTCTAAGCACCTCAGCCTGATGTTCCCAGCAACCCTGGTCTAACTCTGTGCCCCCAATCTCCCTACCCACATGCTCTGGGTTAGTCGAGCTGAGCCTTCTTCTTCCCTGGTATGCACATCCCACATTCCCTTCTCCAGACATTCATCAACAGTTTGGAAGCACCACTGTGCTGGGGCTGGGCTGCAAGTTGATTCTGGCCTGGGCCCTGCCCTCAGAAGGCTCACAGTCCAGCCTGAGGGAGCAGAGAAACAAACTGTCATCACACAATGTGGGAGGCAGCCTACCAGGAGGTAGGCACAAGGTACCAGCAGCTTCCAGAAAGGGACAGTGATAGTGTGTGTGGTGGGGGAGGGAAGGAGAATGAGAGAGAGAAAAAAAAAGAGAGAGAGAGAGATGAATGACTGGGATCAAATCTTGGCTCTAGCATTTATTCACTATGTGACCTCAGGAAAGTTAATTAACCCTTCCTCTCCCCAGTTTCCTTATCTGTAGGATAGAGATGACCAAAGCATCCATTTCATAGCACTTTTGTGGGAGTTAAAGAGTTAATATAGATGAAGCCAACAGAATATTCCAGGTCTATAATATAAGTCAACAAACTTCAGCATTATCATTATTACCTCTTCCCCCTACCCCTGGGCACACCCATCCACCCCTGGGGGCCAATATCAATTCCATCCATGCGCCCTAAGGGCCTTCTTGGCATCCCGGGGCTGCACTCTCTGACACAGCAGCCCCTCTTCGTGTGACCACTCCCTGCCCTGTTCCTTCAGTGCTCACTGTCCCCTCAATTAAATACCGCCCCGGCAGTGTGCTATCTCCTGCACAATATCAGCCTTTCTCCTTCCAAGCATATTGGAGAAAGAGAAAATAAGACCAAGGTGGGGGAAACCTTTGTCAAGCACATGCCACGTGCAAAGCTTTTTACATACATCATCACAGTCAGCTTTCCCACTGTGCCCCATCCCCACCATACACCGGAGGACATGGAGACTCCTACAGCAAAATGACTTTCTCGATGTCACAGATAACAAGCAGCAGAACCACTCCAAAGTCAGGGCACATCCTGCTTCACCCAGCTCTCTGCAACCTGGCAGACCCATCAGGCTCCTTGCTTTCCTATACTCCCCACCATGACTCAAAATAAGAGAGATCAAAGGCCATGCACCAGGCCCTGCAGCCTCACAACTGTACTTCTAGGAAACAATAAAGCATTATGCAAAGGTATAGCTGGAACAGTGCTTTTTTTTTTCTTTTTTCTTTTATTATTATTATACTTTAAGTTTTAGGGTACATGTGTACAATGTGCAGGTTAGTTACATATGTATACATGTGCCATGCTGGTGTGCTGCACCCATTAACTCGTCATTTAGCATTAGGTATATCTCCTAAAGCTATCCCTACCCCCTCCCCCAACCCCACAACAGTCCCCAGAATGTGATGTTCCCCTTCCTGTGTCCATGTGTTCTCATTGTTCAATTCCCACCTATGAGTGAGAATATGCGGTGTTTGGTTTTTTGTTCTTGCGATAGTTTACTGAGAATGATGGTTTCCAATTTCATCCATGTCCCTACAAAGGACATGAACTCATCATTTTTTATGGCTGCATAGTATTCCATGGTGTACATGTGCCACATTTTCTTAATCCAGTCTATCATTGTTGGACATTTGGGTTGATTCCAAGTCTTTGCTATTGTGAATAGTGCCGCAATAAACATACGTGTGCATGTGTCTTTATAGCAGCATGATTTATAGTCCTTTGGGTATATACCCAGTAATGGGATGGCTGGGTCAAATGGTATTTCTAGTTCTAGATCCCTGAGGAATCACCACACTGACTTCCACAGTGGTTGAACTAGTTTACAGGGGCAGTGCTTTTAATAGTAAACAGATATTAGACTGTCTAAACATCTAACAGTAGAACATTGAGCAAATTACGAGACATGTCCATAAGCTGTGGCACATCTGCATAATGGAACACTATATAGCCCTAAAAACTATGTCATAAAATCTATTTATTGACACAGAAAGATGTTCCTGATGTATCACTGAGTGGGGCAGCGGGGCGTTAAAATGGTACGTATCATTTCTTAGTCGTCTTCTGTGTGCGTGTGTGTGTGTGTGTGTGTATGTGTGTATAGACAGAGACAGAATTAATCCTAGAATGGAATACAGCAAAACAAATACAGCAAAAAATTATCTCCAAGGAGTGAGATTATGGGTCATTTTTGTTTTTTCCTCTATTTTTTTTTTTTTGAGACTGCGTTTTGCTCTGTCATCCAGGCTGGAGTGCAATGGCGCAAGCTCAGCTCACTGCAACCTCTGCTTTGCGTATCTGTAATTCCTGATTATTCTGCAATGAACAAATACTATTTCCATAGAAAAAGTTATTTTAAAAAAATAATGAAAAGCACCTCTACAATGGTTAATATCTACCCTATTATGGGTCATCTACACAGAAATAGGAATTGTCATGAAGTGTGCATCAAGAAACAGTTAGTGGAGAGCAAGGTTGTGACTGAATAGAAAATAACTCCAGAGGGTGTGGGTCACAGCCCAGAGAAGGCAGGTGTAGGTTAGAAGGTCAAATGCCAAGATGCGAGCCCTGGAGGAGAGGAGGCAGAGACAGGAGGGTCTAGGGACAGCAAAGAGAAACTTCACCCTCTCCCCAGCCCTGCCTCTGGCCAGTCCTGCCGGAACACCTGCAACCTGTGTCCATGACACAATGGCATTTAAATATTTAAACAGACCCAGCTTTGCTGGAACGGCGCACTCAGTCTCCAGGGATCAATCCCATGCCACAAGCCCCGCTCCACAAATCAAGTTTCTGGGGGCACCGAGCCTTTCCTCCCCTCCCCGATCCTACCCCCATCCAAGGACCTGCAAGACAACTGAGTGATGAGCCCAGCTTCCCTTCCGCGACAAAGGCAGTGAGCCTGAAGGCCGCGTTATTGGCTTTTCCACTGCAGCTTGAAGCGAAAAGCACGTGAGCCTTAAAGAATATGTGCCTTAATGCCCTCAAAAAAATTTTTTTCTTAGCAAAACTGCAAGAGTCATCTAACTCTCCCTGCTGCACTCAGGTAGGGGTAAAACCAGGGTAGTTTGAAAGAGGTTGAGGTCAAGCAGATTTTCTGGGACTGCCTTGGGCTCAAGCTTTTGTCTGTCCAGTCAGCAGATCCACCCATCCCATCGCACCTCTTGGCCTGTGGCACAGTTTCCCGTGGTATTCCCCAATCCACTGCTCCCTTCATGTCCTCCAGACATCTTGCCTCCCTAGTAAAGAGCATCATTGTTAAGCTGCTGCCTGGGAAGAAAGGCGCCACTGTGTGGGGAAGGAGTGCTGATCAGGGCAGTCCGGAGGCCCAAAGGAGGAGCCATCCCCTCACGGACAAAGGAGGAAACCAGTGCCATAGCAACTGAGGTGTAGAACCAGGACTAAACGTCCAGCCTGCTCCTCCCATCAGCCTGATACCCTTCTCTCTGAAGTACACCACTGCCAAGAAACAAGAGACTTTAGAACGGGAAGAGACCCTAGACCCTATTCTGATACTACCCCCACTGGGTGTGGCAACACACTCCCCGACTGGGTTTCTAGAAGGGAGGCAACAGGGTGAAGCGGCCACACAGCTGAAGACGCACATCTGTAGGGTGGAGGTGGTAGAGAACAGAGACTTTGCTGAGACAGAGGTGGCCTTGAGAGGGCCCGCTCCTGGTGTGTGACACCTGACGTGACTCAGGAGTGAGTCATGCTTCTAGGAGGGCTTTAGCCATGTCTATTTGCCTTTTGTCACTAATCTAGCCTAATGCCGTAGTTGGGGGGCAGTGATTTTAATAGATTTAAATTTAAAAGACTGGAAATCATATAATTCCTTCCATCCTACTTCAATTGTAACTACTACCTGACTCCAGCCTGCCCGCCTGATGCCTAGAAATTGCCCATCGACAGCGGCCAGGGCTTCACCTCATAAGTAAGTTGTGCGTTCTCATTAATTAACTTTGAAAATGCTTTTTCCGCAGCCTTCAAGAGAATGAAACTCCAGGGTAGGAGAGCATATGTAAGGGGCAGTTAGTATGGAAGATGTCCTAGGGTATGGCGGTTCTAGAGTTGAGGACGCTGGGATCATATCCCACTGTTCGCATCCTAGATCCCAGCTGTGTGACCATGGACAAGGCCCTACACCTCTCTGAGCCTCAGTTTCTTCACGGTAAAGTGAGGTCAACTGTCCCTGCCTCTCCAGGTTGGTGTGGGGGTTTACAGAAATAATCCATGTGAAACACTTAGCCTAGCGCTCTACACACCCTAAGCACCTACTCACAGGAATTAAGACCATGATTCAGAAAACACTTCGAGGAAAAAAGAAAACTTCCTACACTGCTTCCCTTGTGTCTAGCAAAAGGGCATATGCCTGCTTTGCTCCTCCCTGCATGGCTAATGCTTAGAGACAAAATGTTCTCCCTGAATATCACAACGTCATCACCAACTTCTTTGCTATGATGTTTCTTGAACAAAGAAAATGGAAAAGTGGGTCTCTCATCAGGAGTCTGCTCCAATGACGCTAACAGAAAAATTCGGGCTTGGGAGCAATTAGGAAGAGAAGAGGCAAACTCTTGAAATGACTTTTAAAACTTTCTAGCAGCCCAAACCCAAGGATTCCTTCCACCTGCCTGTCCCCAGTTATCATCCTGCCTACAAAATGGGGCTAAGGATACTGCTAGGATTTAAAGCGATTAAGTGAATTAAAAATCAAGCGCTGGATAGCTGAGTTGTATATCAATGTGAAATAAATGGAAAGAATAGATTCTAAGGAGACCAACTAAAACACTGATGCAAGCCAGTGGCAACCTGCCTGGAGAATTCCTGGAGACTCCAGAATGTCCAGATGCAAAAAGCAGAAAATAATAAGAGCTGAGCAGTCAGGAGCCAGAAGCCTTCATGTTTAAATGAAGTAGACTTGTCACTGTCAAAAGCCAGTATACACAAGAATCCCCTGAAGAGCGCTCAGAAAATGCAGGCCCCTTGGCCTTCCCTCCAGTGATTCTGATACCGGAGGTCTGATGTGGAGCCCAGGAGTCTGAATTCTAAGAAGCGTCTAGGCATTGCTGTGCAGCTGGTCCGGGCCTACACTTTCACAAACACCAACAGACTTTTCCACAATGTCCTATTCAGTTGCTTTTTTTGTGCATAAGAAACACTTTTCCTTAAGCAAGAGATTAAAAGGGAAGAAACAGAACTTTAACCCTTAAGCTTGGTAAACTTTCAAGGTAATTAAAAGAGACTGGTTACTTGCTGGAAAACAAAGTATTCATACATCCATACACCATGGATTGGGTAAAACATAAATCATGTTCAGGTGATTTAACATTTCTCTGAGACGGAAGAAATTCAATGACTGAGTAAAAGGCATCAAGCAAACTCTCTATCACCTGCAGTTAGCAGCTACAATAATATTCAAGCCACCCATTTTGCAAAGGAAGCTTGGAGCAAGAACACACAGGACCACTATATTCAGGAATGCATTCCAGGAAGGGTTAAATAAATCACATCAGAATATAGCTTATTACCACTACACATAAACCCAGAAAGGGGTTGGGGTCCAAGGTGATCTAATATTTTCATAAATAACTTGAAAGATGGAGTGGGAATTATGCAAATCACACCATAGATGATACAAAAATGGCAGGGACGGCAAATCTGTGGAGAATGAAATTTAACTACTGGGCAATGTCTTTAAATTTGCCTTTATTGAATCTTGTATATTGAAGTCACATATTATTGGATCTGTTTATTGAGACTCAATGGGACCAAATGCAGACTGATTTATGGAAGAAGGAATAATCAAACGCATAAGTAGAAAAGAGCATGCACCTGGAGAGGCATCGACACCGAGGCTGGGACAGGCTCCGACTAGTAAGCTGTTGAGAGGGTGGACAGGGCATAAGTAAGGAGATATGTCCGCTGCTCTTTGAGCCACCTGGACTTGATGCTACTTCTTAGGAGTGCCATGCTTAAGTGTAGACCTGGAAGGGAATTCCAAGCAGGGTGCCATAGAGACTATGGGGTGGGGCCCTAAGTCAACCAAGAATATATGGGATGTTCAGAAGGTCTCCCAGACGGACAAAGCCCTAATGTGCCTATTCGTAGGGGAAAGATGCGCAAACGACAAGGGGACCTGTAGGAGAGAAAATCTTCAGCTCCTATTAAGGAAAAACACTCATTCGAAGCACAGCTGGCATCATGGAAGAAAGGGCAGCTTATGGTAACACCATCCCTAGGGACGCTCGAGGAGGTGGCCAGACACCTCTCTACTTAGGATGCATTAGAGATTATTAAAAGCACTCCTTGCCCAGTTTGGGGGTGGTGGGGGTGGGCCTTGTGACCTCTCCAAAGGTCATTTCTATCCCAAAGGATCACATGTCTGAAGGGCACCAGATAAAAATAAAGTCTATTAATCACCGAGCTGCCACACAATTTCCAAAGAGAGCCAGAACAGAGAAGGGCAATCGACGGTGGCCCCTGCTCCACCGAGAGAGGGAGAGGAGGCAGCACGCATGCGGACAGAGCCAAGAAAGCAGCCGCTGAGACTTCCAGAAAGCCTGCCGTCAGGCCTCCCAGGCACTACAGGGCACACAGAAGGTGGGAGAGAGCCTGCGGGGAGGGCATCGAGAGAAGCAAACGTCACTGAGAGTCCCGAAACAAAGCCATGGGGACTCAGGAGACAGTGTGTGATGCAAGCACTTTGCAGAAAGAGGGGTGCCCAGTAAGAGAGGGATGCCCACAAACAGCACTTCATGGAGATGATCCACAAGGAGGCAGAAGTCAGAGGCAAAGGTGGGAGGAGAGGAACTGGGAGGGGATGAAGTCAGAGAAAAGGGCACACAGGTGTGTGTGTCTGGGAGTCCATGGGATTATGATGGGCTGGGAATCCAATGAAAGCTGCAGAGATAGAGCAAAAAGGGATCCCACGGTCTATAGTAGCAGACAATTACATACGAAGATAAAGCATTTTAAAAGAGGAACAAATGGCTGGGTGCAGTGGCTCACACCTGTAATCCCAGCACTTTGGGAGGCTGAGGCAGGAGGATCACTTGAAACCAGGAGTTCAAGACCAGCCTGGGCAAGACCCCATCTCTACAGAAAATTTTAAAAACTTAGCCAAGCATAGTGGCATGGGCCTGTAGTCCTAGCTACTGCGTATGCTGAGGCAGGAGGATGGCTTGAGTCCAGGAGGTCAAGGCTGTAGTGAGCTATAATCCTATGATTGCACCACTGTACTCCAGCCTGGGTGACAACGCAAGAGCGTCTCTTAAAAAATTAAATAAATAAAAATGAATAAACGAAGAATATAGTAGCAATGCCCCAGTTCCAAAGCAGTTGTTGGCATTCTTGATAGATGTGCTGGTCAAGCCAAACACAGCTAGAAAGCCCAAGACGGTCTGAGGGCCCTTCCCAGCCCATGGCTTACAGCCAGTCTCTCAAGGGTCAGCATGCTGGGGCTTCTATGTATCAGAGTGAAACTGAACGCCATGTAGGAAGCAAGACCCAGGCCAAGGCAGGCACCTCCTGGTGCTGCCAAAAGGCATCAGACCCCATGCCCTGCTCCTTCCTCATCCTGGACTAGAACTGCTTTGGGGTGGAGACGTTACCTGCAGGAGTCATCTCAGGAATGGCATCTGCATGGAGTATTAAGCAGCCAAATGGGAGTCATGGAGTTTGAGTTCTTCTAGCAAAATGTTCTCCAACCAGCTGTCACCCCATTGGACACAGAACAACTTTTTGAAATCAAAAGAGGCCAGTGAAGGGGGAGACAAAAGACACCACCCCCAGGGTGCTCCCTGGGCCCCACCCCTACCCCGCCTTGCCAGCTCTCTCCCTGCCTTCAGGGAGACTGCAGACCCTGGCGAGATGGGTGGGACACCCAGAGGGAGACCCGTGCCAGGGTCCAGCCTCGACTGTTTCACTGCCATCCTCGCTGCAGCCTCTTCCCTCCTATGGCGAAGCTCTGCATCCTCAGAGAGGAGAAGACGGCAAGTGAAGATCATTAGGAGTGTGGTGGTGAGGGCTGCCCTCCCATAGAATGAGCAAATGGTACCCGGTACAGTGAGAAGATGACTAGGGCACAGGTTTTCAATCTGCCTCCCAGTGCTCTGCTGTCTGGAGCTGACCACCTCCCTCATCAAGCTGCAGGTTTCCCGAGGTCCACCCACTGCCCTGGCTCCCTGCGACTCCCCTCCCGTGGGCTCCCTAGCTCTGTCTGCACGCCCTAAACTCAGGAGCCAGCCAGGCAGTCGCTTGTCCAAAAGATGTTTCTGAAGCAAGCAAGAAAGGCTGGAGATAGATTGAGGGCCATTTATTAAAGTAAGTCATCGTCATAGAAAGATTCATAACTTGCCCTACCTAGGACAGGAGAGGAAGAGGGAAAGGAAATTAAAGGGAAACAAATGAAAAGCCATGGCGAGCCAAGTACCTTTGTCGGAGGGTTTTGAGTTATGCTTTTGTTTGTAACTCTCTGAAATACAGAAAGAAATAGAGGATGAATCTTAAAGGAGACAGAGCGCGTGAGAGAGAGAGCCGGAGGAGAGCCACACAGGAGGCATGGCAGGAGGTGGGGGTGCAGAACTGAGGGTGGGGGCCACCCCAGCTGGCTTCCCCTCTGCAGAAACCCCCTGGGGCAGCAGAGGCCCAAGGAAGTGGTGACTGCGGTGGAGGCGGCAGGCGAGTAAGCTGGGGTGCAGACAGAGGAAGAGGAGAGCACACACTGAGGTTGGCAGGCGGATGGCCAAGGAAGCACAGGGAAGAGGGGCCCTGGGGGCAGGCGCACAGGGAGGAAGGAAGGTGGGACCGGCCCATACTTACTGTCACAGACGTAAGGTTTGTCGTGGTCTTCCTGAGAGGCGGCGTCGTGCCTCCTCCTGCCCCCTGCAGAGCCGCGAGCCTGGGGAGACATTGGGGTACAGGATGCTTGTTACCATGGTCATCACTACAGCTCCGGAGCATGCGCTCTGCGAGCTCCTTACACCGTCTTCATCCCAACTTTTGTGCCAACACCAGTCCCATCTTACAGGGGAGGAAACTGAGGCCCAGAGAGGTCAGGAGACATGCCCCCAAATCACTCAGTTGCTCACCTGTATCACCTCATTAAATGTTCACAACTCCAAGAGGTGGTTTCTACTAGGGTCCCCATTTTACAAACCAAAGGACTGAAGCCATAGAGAGGTTAAGTAGCTTGCCCAAGGTCGTTCGGCTACTCAGGGCAGCTGTACTGAAAAGCCCTCCTCTACCAAATTCCCACACACTACCGTGCCACTGAGGCCGCTTCCTCCTGCTCCTTAGCCTCCTAGCTTCACTGACACAGCTGAGGTTGACAACCCCAGGCCCCTCAGCAGACCAGCTGATGCACGTATCAGGAGCAAGGCCTGACGGGGGCAAGGCTAGGCTTCTGTGTCCATCCCCGCAGTGTCGCAAGAGCCAGACAGTCCTGACATCCAGGCCCAGTGCACGAGTGTAGCTACAGGGGAGCTCCCGCCACCAGCCCATGCTTGGCCTACTCAGTAGGGGTGGGCTTTGGCTAAGGCCTCCCTGTGTGGTCTGCCTTGGGCCTTCAGCCAGTGACGAAGACCTTGACCCCCATGGTCTCCTGGGCTGGACTTCTGATACCACCACCCTGTGTGAATCTCCCAGGGTGGCGGTGGAATGAGCTCTACCTTCAAGAATCAAAGAGCCCAGTCAGAGAGGTTGCTGGCAGCTCTGCAGCCCCAGGGCGGTGGTGACAAGAACACAGCGAGGTTTATTTTTAAACCTTTGTAAGTCCCACACTGGTCACGTGTATAGCACCCTCGCCTCTCCAGGTCATTCTTTGGTAATGAGTAGCAGTCAACTCCCAACCAAGGAAAGGGCCTGTCGGGGTCTTTGGGGACAGAGAGGAAGGGGCAGCAGGTGAGGAATAAGACCTGGCAGCAGCCTGGGGTGCAGGGGAAATGGGGCAGCCCCTGGGGCCTGGCTTGGAAAAGTGGCCATGGGGACTTGATGGTGGAAAGGCCTTGGATACTCTCACACACACACTCACACTCTGTGCACACACACACTCCATGTACACACTCACCGGGGACTTCACAGTGGAAAGGCCTGTACCCTAGGCCTGCAACACACCCACTCAGAAAACACACCCACTTCCCAATCAACACCACCTGCCAAGCTACCACCTCTGCCACCTCCTCAGCTTGTCTCTCTCCAAAACAAATTCCACTTCCTCCCTCCCTCCCACCAGTCTCCCTCCCCACCCCACCCCTGCAGCGCTGACAGCCAGCAGCCCTCCTCCCCTCGCCCTCATTACTCAGAGTTGACCCCAAGAAGGATCTGTAGGTGCTGGCAGTCACCCCGGGCACTGACAGGCCTCCTGCCTGCCCGCACTGCCGAGGGTGGTCACCCTCAGCTGCCCTCCCCCTCCACACCCCTCTGTGAAGCCAGGGACAGCTTGACATGTAGCCTGCAGCCCTGTCACAGCCGCCTCTGAGCAGGTGAAAGCAAGTCAAGCAGAATGACGAGGCAACAGCAGACTGGGGAAGGGGCTCTGGGAGACTAAAAATACCTCCATGGGGAAGGGGAGGAGTCGAGCAGAACTGGATGTACGAGGGCTTCTGGGGGAGCTGCCAGCAGGAAAGGGAGGGTGCTGTGGGAGCCAGGTTTTCATCTCCTACAGCAGGGCTGACCAGCAGAGTGACTCTGTGCCACACTCGCTTTGCCTCAGTTTCCTCAATTGCAAAATGGGGATCGTGTCTATAGGGCACTTCAGGGGACATGCAAGGGACTCTTCCTGAGGCAGCAGCACTCTTAGGGTCTCTTAGAAGATCTCAGGTTTGGAAACTCAGAATCCTACTTGGCCTTCTCAAATGTCACCTCCTCAGAGAAGCCCTCCCTGACCAACTTACATCCACTCACACCCTCTCCATTGTTTTCTTTCCCCTCCCATTTCATCATGGCACTGAGCGCTGTCTGGCATTAGATTATACCTGTGTTGGTTTACAAGTTGATTTTGTCTCCCCTACATGGAGAGACAAACATGGTGGAGACCATGTTTATTTTGGCCCCCACTAGTCTCAGAACCTGGCACAGGGCCAGCCACATAAGAAGCACTTAATAAACATTCGCCAAATGGATGAATCAATCAGGCAGGCAGCGAGTCAGTCATCTCTGGTTCTTCTCCTTCATTCTCTGTATCCAAATGTTATTGCTTCTTCCTCCAAAGGCCATCTAGGCTTTGCATTTCCTTTCCATTGCACACCCTAATCCAGGAGCTCATCGACTGACCCCTGAGCTGTTCAAAGAACCCACTAAGGGGGATCTACCTCCACATTGCCCCCCTAGTCCACCCTAACGGGGGATCTACCTCCACACTGCCCCCCTAGTCCATCCCAAGGGACTTTCAGACCATTAGACAAAGGGATGAAAGACAGGAGCCCATGGTCATAGGTTCACGCATTCACACGTTCATTCATTCATTGCCATCTACAACCCACTTACACAGCCAGTGGCAACCTAGTGCTGATCCCCTCGGGTTCACCCCATGATTGTGCTCTCCTCTGCCCATGCACATCTGATCCAGGCTTTGCCCTTGCTAACCTCCACTCCTCCAAGAATCTTCCTCTTGCCACACTAAGGAGTGAAAAGAGCATCCGCTTAAAGTCAGATAGACACAGGTTGAAACACCAGCTATGTGTCTTGGGCAAGTTACTTCTCTAACTTTTAGTTTTCTCAACTGTAAAATGAGCACACCAACACCTATATAGCAGAGCTGTTGAGAGAGTTTGAGCTGAGAGTGTGTGAAACCACAGGGGACAGCACTAAGTCCACAGGAAGCACTCAACACATCATTTCCCCCCTCCTTGCCTAGGCTGATCTCTCTCCTCTGAACTCCTGTTGCCTTTGGTTAGTGCACAGTCAGGTGCCTGCTGTTTCTAATGGTATCATGGGTATTAGCATCTTCTTCCCAGTTTGATTCGAAGGTCCTTGAGGGCAAAAATGGCATTCTATACTTTATTATGACCCCCTAACACTTAGCACATAGCGTGCAAAGCTCTTTTGCATATAGTAACTCAGTTAATTCCTACAATAACCCTATGAGTTAGACCAAGCAGTGTTATGATTCCTAGCTGGCCCTTGATGAAGCAGGTTCTCACCTGTCCACAGTCCCAGGGCCAGCAGAAGGAGCAGGACCTAGGTCTCCAGGCTCTGTTATAGAAAGCTTTGAAGGTGACCAGCCAAAGGAAGCCAATCCTTCTTCCCCAAGAACTGCCCACCCTACTTCATTCCTCTCTACCAGTATTCCCACACTGCTGGGCCATGGCAGCCATGAGTGTACCACATGGCCCTGTCCCACTGGCCACAGTTGATTGGCTGGCTCGGGAGTAGTCACCTGATTCAAGCTGGGCCAATCAGATCCTACCTCCAAGGGGTTTGGAATTAGAAAACAGTGACCCTAGCTAGTATAGGCCACTTGAACTGAGGGCCCATACATTCAGGAGCCTTATGGGGCCATGTACACATGGAAGCAGGAAGAATGAAGGAGGGAGAAGTAGAGGCCAGAAACCACCTGGGTTCCTGTTTCCCAATGCTAAGTCCCTGCCATGTTCCTGCTCTTCCTGTGGTTTGGATCTTCAAAGGTTGCTCAAATTTGGGGCAGTGGCCTGGCAGCTTTTCAAATCCTTCCCATTTTTATTGAAGCTGAAAGACCCTTGACTAGGACAGACTCGGTCCCAAGCAGAGAGCTAGATCTTCTATACCAGTTGTTCTCAAACAGTGTGGCCCAGGAATCCTGGGGGATCCCTGAGTGTCCTTTCAGGGACTCTGCAGTGTCTGAACTATTTTCATAGGAGTCCTAAAACGTGATCTGCCTTGTTCACTCTCACGCTCTCACAGGCATCCAGTGGAGTCTTCCAGAGGCGACATGACACGTGACGATGCTGTCACTGTGTGTGTATTCTCTAGTTTAAAATTTGTTTTATTTTTCTTGTAAATCTTTTTTACTGGGCTACCTCTTAAACCACAATAGGTTCAGAGAGACAACCTTTTTAATTTCTAAAATGGCAAATATCATTAGTGGTATGAATATTACTGGTTATAACCTGAATAACAGCCTTTGGGGGCTCTCAGTGTAAGGAATTCCTGAGATCAAAAAAATTGAGAACCACTGCTCTACACCCTTGCTATTTTTTTTTTTTTTGAGACGGAGTCACTCTGTCATGCAGGCTGGAGTGCAGTGGCTCAATCTCGGCTCACTGCAACCTCCGCCTCCGCCTCCCGGGTTCAAGTGATTCTCCGCCTCAGCCCCCTGAGTAGCTGGGATTACAGGTGCATGCCGGCATGCCCAGCTAATTTTTCATATTTTTAGTAGAGACGGGGTTTCACACTGTTAGCCAGGATGGTCTCAATCTCCTGACCTCGTGATCCACCCGCCTTGGCCTCCCAAAGTGCTGGGATTACAGGTGTGAGCCACCGTGCCAGGCCTTTTTTTTTTTTTTTTTTGAGATGGGGTCTCACTCTGTCACTAGGGCTGGAGTGCAGTAGCACAATCACAGCTCAATGAAGCCTTAACCACTCAGGCTCCAGTGATCCTCCCACCTCAGCCTCCCAAGTAGCTGTAACCAGAGGTGCACACCGCTCTGCCTGGCTAATTTTTTCAGAGATGAGTTCTCACCATGTTGCCCGCAGGCTGGTCTCAAACTCCTGGGCTCAAACCATCCTCCCACCTCGGCTTCCCAAAGTGCTGGGATTACAGTTGTGAGCCACCGCACCCAGCCTACACCCTTGCTATTTAAAGTGTGGTCCTGACACCAGCAGCTCCAGCATCACTTGGGAGCTTATTAAAAAGGCAGGAGCTCAGCCCCCACCCCATGGACTTACTGCATCAGAATTTGTATTTTAACAAAATCCTCAGGTGCTCCATATGCACATAAAGTTTGAGAGGCACCTGAACACCACAGTACATAAATAAATACTTCATGATTGATTGATAATTGATTAATTGGTAATACTCACATGGATGACTCACAAGAATCTCATGAATTTTAAAGAGCTTTGACTTCTTGGGCTGAAGTTACCAAAGACACAATTATTAATTGTTGGGCTCCCCTCACCACTCAGAGAATACCCATTATCAAAATTCCAAGAGTTATTCCCTTTGCTTGCCCCCTCCTGATAATATCTAGGCAGTATGAAGCACTCAAAACTTACTGATGAAGAAACTGAGGCCCAGGGTACTTATACAATTTGCCCACCATCACAGAGGTTACATAATTCATCCAACGTGTAGTAAGTGGTAGAGCTGGAATTTGAACTTGCAAGGTCTAAGTTCAAATAAAGCAGAGCCTATTCTGTAATCCCTACCTTAGCCCTGGCCTCCTCAGTGAGCACACAAAGCACCTGGGGGCTTGTCAAAGTGCAGACTCTAATTCTCATTAATCTAGTGTGGAGTCTGGGCTTCTGCATTCCTAATGAGCTCCCAGATGATATTAATGCCACCATCCAGAGACCACACACAGAGGTGTCAAGACTTAGACTGCCTCTAGGTTCTGACAAGACAAATGGGCATAGTTGTTCTCCAGTGCCAGCAGCAGCTGGAATATACCACTTTAAATGGTGGGCAATGAGCTGGGTATGGTGGCTCATGCCTGTAATCCCAGCACTTTGGGAGACCCGGACAAGAGGATCGCTTGAGGCCAGGAGTTCCAGATCAGCCTGAGCAACAGAGTGAGGCCCCCATCTCTAAAACATAATAATTATAAAAAATAAAGCATGGGCAAAACAGCTGAACTGAGGCTGTGAGTGCAGCAGCTTCACACACCCCAGCACAGGAGGCTTGCCCACAGCCTTCTGGGTCCTTCCATGGCTCCGTGCATGGGTAACAT
This sequence comes from Homo sapiens, assembly GCF_000001405.40. NCBI lineage: Eukaryota > Metazoa > Chordata > Mammalia > Primates > Hominidae > Homo > Homo sapiens. The sequence continues at coordinate 72,720,470 of NC_000014.9, forward strand.
GTCCACAGTATCACTGTACAACATGGAACCATTCAGCTGCTGCTTGGCCAGTATCTGGTGGGCCCAGAGCCAGTCTAGGCTCCATCCAGCCCCCTCACTGTGTTCAGGTGTCTCTCATCTCCCCTACAGCTGAAATACGACTTTTCTTTCTCTTTTCCATCATTCAATCATTCATTCGACAAGCTAATCATTGGCTATATGCTGGGCCCTGGGCCAGGCATGAACTCAGAGGAGAAAGCACAGACCTGTGTTCAAATCTTAGCCTCTTCCTTACTAGGCTGAGTGACCTTGAACAAATTGCTTAACCCCCCTGGGAGCAATAGTACCAGCTTGTGGAAATGAAAGAAGTTCTGACCAATAGAAATACAATGTGAGCCACACTCATCATTTTAAAATTTCCAGCAGCACATTTTTTTTAAAAAAATAGATAGGTGCAATTAATTTTAATAATATATTTTATTTAACAATATATCCAAAATATGATAGTTTTATAATTTAATATAAAAATTAAGAATGAGATGTTCTGCATTCCTTTTTCATACTAAGTCTTCAAAATTTCATATTTATTTTATATTTACAGCACATTTCCATTAGGACTAGACACATTTTGAGGACTCAGTAGCCACATGTGGCCAGCAGCTGCCATAATGCACAGTGCAGAAATAGAGATAGGAGTCTAAAGCACCTGGCACAAAGGCATCACTCTCTATGTGGTAGCTCTTGTTATACAGAGCCCATCACATTGCCTGGTTTACAGGAAGTACACAGTAAATATACATGGTTGCACTGACTGCTGATGTTTTCACAGACACCCAATTCATATCCACTGACTGCAAGCTCAATCTTCTAAATGTAGGTTGGGGAGAGGTGTGAAGAGGACCATTTCCCACACTTGCATCAGTTTGGTTGGGGTGAGAGAAGGAAAGCAAGTGGGTCTGGACATGCACAGCTCTTTGGGAGTTCACCAAAGGCCCAGGAAGTCCAAGCTCAAAAGTCTCCTTTAATAATGGAATTCAATTTTCTTTTTAATACCCTCCCCTCCGTGAATGGGTCTAGGCCAGTTTATCAATGGCTGCAAAAATCATTAAGTAAAAACTTGATGAGGAACTGTATAAGGGAGAGATCAGGCTGACAACACTCAAATCTACTGATCAATTAAAACACCACCCAAAGCAGAACTGGACAGGGTATGCCCCTGATGTGATACGAGAAGAACCTATCACCACCTAGGAAGGATTCTTACCTCCCCACAAGAAATGTTTGTACACACATACACAAACACACACACACACAAGCACACACCTTGAATCTAAGCAAGTTTCTAATCAAACTACCAGTTTTCAGGAAACACAGAGGATGGAGAAAGACATTAAATACCACCCTCCCACCACTTCTAGAATGTGAGAAGTTCCACAAGACAAACAACCCAAATTCTTCAACAAATTAATGGCATGGAGAAAAAAAAATGTGTGTGGTGGGGTGCAATACAGAAGAGAATACAGAAGAGGTATGCTGTGGAATCCGGGAGACTTCAGTTTCAAACAAACCAACTATAAAATGGCATTTTTTGACAAAAGGGGAAATGATAAGGGACTAGATAGTAGGTATTATAACTATTATTTTATTGGATATGATAATGATATCTGTTAAAGACACACACTGAGATATGTGTCAGTTAAATGATAAGATGTCTAGAACTTGTTTTCAAATACTCCAGAAAAAAAATCAAACAAACACAAATCAACAAAAAGTAGGAGAAAAGAAGAGACGAGCCAAGATAGCCAAAATCTTGCTAAGTGATGAGGCTGGTCCCAGCTGTACCAGAAGTGCACCATCAGAGAGCTGCCCGCCCAGCCCCTGCACAGGCTGCACAGCCCCACATGCGACAGGCTGGAGCATCTCAGCTCAGTGTGTGCCGCGCTGGCCGATGTGCAGCGGCCGCCTGGGAACTTGCTTCTAATATAGTATAAAGCCCTGCCCCAGAGCTCCTAAAGCAGAATTTCTGAGTGGGGTCCTGGGAATCTGCATTCAATAAGCTCTCTCAGTGATCCTAATGTCTGCTGAGGCATGAGAACCACAAGAGTGGAGAGCCCTGCCATGGTTATCATTGGCAGCAAACCCACAGAATGCCTGGGACTAAGTGCTTATCCGTGGGAGGGGTAAGAGTCCCGCCTAGAGCCTGAAGGGGTGAGATTCTCAAGCCTGAGAGTCCATTTTCCAGGTGGACAGCAGCAGTTTACTTCTGGAGGTCCCTCTCCACCTGGTTATTGTCACATGCCCTTGCAGACCCCAGACGGCCACCACAGAAAGCCCCTTCGGGCGTGAACTCTAGATTCAACCTGAATGCCTGGAAGTGCCTGACCAGTCTCTTGTTTTTATTCCTTCCACCTGGGTTTTTTCCCCTCTGCCCTTCCCCAGGCTCTGGCTTTTTCCTTGTCCCATCCGAGGACCCCTGGGATGGTCTCAAGCCTCCAGAGCTCATGCCAAACCCACTGGGAGCCACCAGCTGCAGCCCCCTGCTACCCCGGCAAACTTCTTTTTTTTTTTATAGTCATGATTATGGTTTATTTATTTTTTTTATTATACTTTAAGTTTTAGGGTACATGTGCACAATGTACGGGTTAGTTACATATGCATACATGTGCCATGTTGGTGTGCTGCACCTATTAACTCGTAATTTAATATTAGGTATATCTCCTAATGCTATCCCTCCCCCCAGCCCCTATCTCACAACAGGCCCCAGTGTGTGATGTTCCCCTTCCTGTGACCATGTACCCCAAAAGCAGGTACCCTGACTCTGTCATTCTGGCACAGCACCAGGGACAAGGCAGGAAATGTCCAGCCTTCTTTAGTAACCAAGCAGTGGTGACAACAGGCACATTCTCCTTATCTTCCACCCTCACCCTGATCCCACCCTTCAGCCCTCCCCAGACCTCACCACCCACTCAGGGTACCCCCTCTGCCTCCTCTCCTCCCTCTTGCCAGCTCTGAACTCTTCCAGGCTACGACCTGGGATCAGAGCTCTTCTGGAGTTTTCTCCTTTGAGCGTTCTCCATGTAAGACCATGGCCATGATTTCCATCTAGCTGCAGTGGAGATCAATCGTTGGCCGGGCACCCCAGCCTCCCTCATCTCTTTCCTCGCTCATGTCATCCCCAACTTACCCGTCCTCTAGTCCTGTTCTTTCGCTTGGGAATATCCTCTTCCAAATCCTCTTCTTCATTCCCTTCTTCTACATTTTCATCATTTTCCAAAACCCTCTGAAATGAAAAAAAAAAATAGAAAAGGTGAGAAACGAAATGCAAAGGGAAAAACCATCAGAGAGTAATTTTAAGGGTGTTCTGATTTGTTGTTATTTTTTAACAAAGTGAAGACGCTGCCTTTGCTTGGGCAGTTGGGCCCTCTGAAATGCTGTCTGGAGTTTGAACTCTTGGCACTACCGAGGCTCTCCTAAGCCCTTGGGCCCCTTCCAGACAAGTCCTCCCAGAACACTGACCTTTTTCCATTCTTTTTGCCCAAGAAGAGTTTTCTAACAAGAGACTATGCTGGTAGGGGCCCTTTTCTATGTGGGGCCAAAATGTTTACTTTTGTAAATGTAATGTTTCTTTTTGCTCCCAAAGGGCCACCTCAGAAATATGAAAATGTTTCTCCTTTCCCTGCCATTCTGGAACCCTGCCCTGTCTGATGAAAGCAAGTAACTTCCTGTTCATCTGACCAGATTTAACACGAATGTGCTGTTCATAATAAGCCACTGCTTTTTTTTCTTTTTTTTTTTTTTAAGAAAAATAGACTTTCATTTAGTACCCGACTTGTCATGGAGCTTAAAGATAATGAATTTTAAATTATCTCTCTCCAGCAGCCCGCCAGTCACATTGCAACATAGAATCCAATTTCCATTTTGCAGGTGAATACGCTGAGGCTGAAAACAGTTTTGAGTGCTCCAGATCATCCAGTGAAGCCATGACCAAAGCAAGGTCAGGTTCATCGGCTCAGGGTTCCCCATTCATTTCTCAGCACAGTGGCTGAGAATTCCAGATGTAATCTGGCATACTCTCCATGTAGGGGCCTAAGCACGTCACTCCCTTTAGAGGAAGGAAGGAGGTAGGATGTGTTCCTCTGGGCTTAAGGGAGGGATAAAAGACTGTAGCAGAGGACCCAGCCCCACAATGGGAGTAGGAAAAGAGGGAAGGGGCATGGAGCTCACTGGGCTCCATGTCAGGGGGCCCAGAGGGGTTTTTGTTTGTTTTTTTTTTTTTCTGAGACAGGGACTCACTTTATTGCCCAGGCTGGAGTGCAGTGGCACAATCACGGCTCAATGCAGCCTCAACCTCCCAGGCCTAAGCGATCCTCCCACCTCAGCCTGCCAAGTAGCTGGGACTGCAGGCACATGCCACCATGCCTGGCTAATTTATTTTTTGTAGAGATGGGGGTCTCACTATGTTGCCCGGGCTGACCTCGAACACCTGGTCTCAAGTGATCCTCCCACCCCAGCCTCCCAAAGTGCTAGGATTACAGGCATACCATGCAGATGAGCTACCACACCTGGCCACCTGGGGGTTTCTTTATGGGCTCACTGTGTGATCTAGGGCAAGTCATCATCTCTTCATCCTTCAGTTTCCCCAATTATACAATAGGAATTCATTCATTCCATCTACAAACATTTATCTAGTGCTGACTACGTGGCAGGCTCCATGCTAGGCAAGCTGCAAAATGGCTACAGTCCCAGCCCCAAATGGACTTTCCAGTCTAGGAAAGGGAGAACAGATTTAAACAATGTGCATATGTCACCATATAATTACAACTCTTCTCAAAACAGTGGTAGGCAAGTTCAAAGTGCTATGAGAGGGTGTTAGGAGGGAGTTTTCCCTAATCCAAGGGCCAGGGGAGGCCTACATGAGAACATGAGCTGAGAAGTTGAGATGTGGAGGATGAGCAAAGACTGGCCTTGTGAATGAGGACAGAGGGGAGGGAGGGAAAAGGTTCTAGGCAGAGGAAACAGCATAAGCAAACTCCCTGAGGCAGGGAGAGGAACACGGCTTGTCCAAGGAGCAGAAAGGCCAGTGTGACCAGTGCTTAGTGGCTCAAGGAGAGATGGCATAAGATGGAGCTAGTAAGGGGAACAAGTACCATACTACACAGGGTAACCCCATCTCCTCTTCCTTGTGGTGATGGGTCAAAGATCACAAATATGTTGAGAAGGCTGAGACAGTGGCACACACTGCACTGTTGTCTGATAACCATCGCTGTTTAAGCCGCCTCCTGGATGACACCTCTGGCCTGTCCTCAAAGCAGGAAGCCCGGGGTGAGCCACCAGGCAGTGATCTTCCACCACTGCCCCTGGCTAGAATGTTCTGCTCTAAATCACAGGGATCAGGACACTTCTAGTCACCCAATCCATCCAAAGAACTCAAAACAGGTCTAGTAAATTCTTCTTTGCCTTTTCTACTAGGTTTATTTGGGAATCCACCAGCTGACAGCACTTAAAGGGTCTCTGAGCCAGCCTTAACCATCTAACAGAGAAGAAGCATTGTCTGCTGGACATGACCTCTGGCCCATAACTAGGAAACGTCAGCCCCCATTCACAGTATAAGTCTCTTGAGTTCCTGACCTGTAGGTGGGAACACTAGCAAAAGCCGACTGAGACAGTGACAGGTCAAATGCTCTGCAGCCTTTGGGGCAAAGACATAGTATAAATATAAGGTCTGGTTATGACTGTTGTTGCTGTTCGTAGAACCATCTTGCAAACTTTCCAGGTCTTGAAGTCACTTAATCATGGTAAGTTCCAAGTGCCTCGAATTTAAAGGTCATAGCCTCTGGCATCTCAGTACAACTCCGACTCTCATTTTTCATTATAAGGGTATTTATTACCCGCAATATGGACTCTGGGTTGGAAGGTGAAAGACTGGTAGAGGCAGCTGAGCTAGTCCCCAGAGTGTCACATGGCCTCCATATCTGGGAGTAAACTGACTTCTCTTCTCCCTGAGGCTCCATCCTCCCTCTGCCCATCAGCTTCCCTGTGACTCTAAAGCCTCTGTCTATGCCCTGGGCCTCAGATGTGATGGCGGCAGACCCAGTGTGTCTGCATTTCCTGCGATGCGGCCCTGACACCAGAAGCCTCTCGACATAATTCAGGAGGAGCCAGGAGTTTCTAACAAACAAAGCTTGTTTCAGACCTCAGGAAGCGGAGGGGGAGTCCTGCATCAGGAGTCGCCGACGGGGGTGGGGTGTCCAACTACAAAGTCAGCTGACCCCCCAGTAACAGACATGCATTCCTTGTCCAAGGACATTATCTGGAAAATAAACACATTTTAAAATAACTTTTCTCCCTGTTACTCTAAACAGTCTTTATGGTGATAACAGCGGTTTGTGGTTGTGTTTAAAAAAAAAAAATCCTTTTTAAAGACTACATTATCTCTGGCCTGGAATACTGCAAAAATCTCCTGATTTCCCTCCTTCCATTGCTGGCCCCACATCCAATCTCCTCTCCATGCAGCAGGCAACAGGATCTTTATGAAATACAAATTCACGGCCCTGATCAAAATCTTCCAAATGGCTTCCTTCTTTATATCACATGGAACCAAAAGCCACTTCCCTGTCCTGTGGGAACTAGGTGGTCTGGTCTCGGCCCACCTGTCAAACTCCTGGGCTCTTTTTTCCCTGGCACAATACTCCGGCCACACAGGTCTTCTGTTCTCTCAACAAAACCAGCTCTGACCTGTCTTGGGGCCATCACACCCACTGCTCCTCTGCCCAGAAAGCTCTTCCCCAGGACCATCACTTTCCTGACTCTTCTCATCCCATAGGGTTGAGGTTAAATCCCTCAACTCGACCAGATGCGGTGGCTCACGCCTGTAATCCCAGCACTTTGGGAGGCCGAGGCAGGCGGATCACGAGGTTAGGAGTTCGAGACGAGCCTGGCCAATGTGGTGAAACCCCGTTTCTACTAAAAACACAAAAAATAGTTGGGCGTGGTGGTGGGCACCTGTAATCCCAGCTACTCAGAAGGCTGAGGCAGGAGAATCGTTTGAACCTGGGAGGTGGAGGCTGCAGTCAGCTGAGATTGTACCATTGCACTCCAGCCTGGGTGACGAGGCGAGACTCCATCTCAAAAAAAAAAAAAAAATCCCTCATCTTCCTCAGGAACTCTACTCTGATGCTGAATCTTCATACTGTTTGTTCTCATGGATTTTATCCTAAAATGCACTTATTTTATTTGTATTCCTTGTTTCCTGCCTGTGTGTCACATTCGAATATGAGTAGAGAGGATAGGTATCTCTTGGTCTCTGTGTCCCTAGCACCCAGCACAGTGCCTGCACAGAGGAAGCCCTCATGAAACTTTGGTCAAATGAATGAATGAATGAAAAAGCATAATCCATTCGCTACATGTGTATTTTAATAATGCAAAGTCAATAAAAACACGTAAACTCATTTGACTTATGGTCCTGGCTTTGTCTTCTAGCACAGTAGACAGCAGACCCATGCGCTGCACTCAGCAGACCTTCAGTTTACATAGGAGATGATGGTGACATGATGACGACAATACAGCACCAGCCCAGTGCTGCATGAGAAGAACTCAAGCCCACCACCAGCTTTAAAGGGAAAGGGACCCACATACCCAGAGCATCAAGGCTCTGGGCAGTGGCTCTGCCCCATGCATTGATTCTGTCAAATTACATGAACTAAGCAAAAAAATACTCTAGCAAGTAACACAGAGATGACAGACCTTGACTTCAAAATCTGAAAGTCACATACACACACACAAGGAAGAAAGCAGTAGGTGGCTTAAACACCAAAGGCAAGAAGAGATCCCTCTGGCTGGAGGGGAGATCAAGAAAGGCTTGATGGGGAAGGTGGCACTGGGGTTGAGTCTAAAAGATGAGTGAGATTTGTACACATGGAGATGGAAGAAAAGGCATGCCAGATAAAGGGCACAGCGGGACCAATGGCATGGAGGGAAGAAGGCTGAAGAACAGAGCGGCGAAAGGAGTAGTGGAAAATAAGCCTGAAAACTAGGTTAGGAATGGAGAGGACACGCCCAGGAAGGTCACGCTCATCCTTTTCGATTTATTTAGTGGGAAACAACAGTTTTTTAGCAGAGTTTTGCTCTAGAACAAAAGGACAGCTAGCAAAGTAGGACATGTCAGAGACGGGAAGAACTGGGGACAGGGCGATTCCTGGAATCTGTTCCCTCATGTGTCCATTCAACAAATATTTATGTTGCACCTGGTAAGCACCAAGCACTGTTTGGGTGCTTATGAGATATAAGCAAGCAAAACTGGCAACGGATCCTGCCCTCGAGGAGTTTACATTCTACTGGAAGAAAACAGACAATAAACAATAACATAATAAGTAAGTAAATTAGAAAGTACATTAGATGATGATAAGAGTGATGGAAAAGAACAAGAAAAGCAGAGTGGAATCGGGAGGCAGGGGCAGTCAGGGCAAGGGTGTGAGATGAAGTACGGCACGGTCAGGGACATCTTTGAGAGAAGAGGAAGGCCAGGCACCGTGGCTCATGCCTGTAATCCCAGCACTTTGGGAGGCCGAAGTGGGTAGATCACCTGCAGTCAGGAGTTCGAGACCAGCCTGGCAAACATGGTGAATCCGCGTCTCTACTAAAAATACAAAAATCAGCCAGAGGTGGTGGTGCGCAACTATAATCCCAGCTACTCAGGAGGCTGAGACAGGAGAATCACTTGAACCCAGTAGGCAGAGGTTGCAGCGAGCCGAGATTGCACCACTTCACTCCAGCCTGGGCGACACAGCGAGACTCTGTCTCAAAAATAAATAAATTCATAAATAATAAAAAATAAAAATTAAAAAATGAAGAAGGTGAGGGTGAGAGACAAGTGTACATCCGGGGAAATGGCCAGGGCAAAGGCCTGAGGTCTGGGACAGGCCTGGCATGTTCTGGGAGGAACAGAAGGAGATTCTTGTGCCTGGAGTGGAGTGGGTGAGGAAAAGAGGAAGAGTGGAGTCAGAGAGGGGTGAGAAGGCCCTGAATTTCACTCTCAGATAGCAGGGGCGGTAGCGGGTTCTGAGCACAGAAATGATAAGAATAGACTTAAATTTTAAAAAGCTCCCTCTCCTGTGGTGTATCTAGACAACAGAATATTATTCAGCATTAAAAAGAAATGAGCTATCTGGCCATGAAAAGACATGAAGGAACCTTAAATGAATGTTACTAAATCAGAGAAGCCAATCTGAAAAGGCAACATACTGTGAGTCCAAGTATATGACATCCTGGAAGAGGCAAAACTATGGAGACGGGGAAACGGCCAGTGGTTGCCAGGCATTAGGACGGAGGGAGGGATGAACAGGTGGAGCTCAGAGGATTTTTAGGGCAGTGAAACTTCTGTATGATACCGTAAGAGTGGACAGATGCCATTACACATTTGTTCAAACCCATTGAATGCACAACGCCAAGAGTGAACCGTCATGCAGACTTTGAACATTGGGTGATAATGATGAGTCAGTGCAGCTCATCTATTATAGCAAATGCACCACTCTAGTGGAGGATGTTGATCATGGGGGAGGCTATACCAGGGGTACACAGGAAATCTCTGTACCATCCTCTTCATTTTGCTGTGAACCTAAAACTGCTGTTAAAAAATATTTTTTTTTAAAGACTGCCCCTCAAGCACTATCAGGGAGACCACTGAGAAGACAACCGCAGCAGTTCACACAAAAGATGAGAGCAGCTTGGGCCAGGGTAGCAGTGGTGGGTGCGGGGAGAGGGGATGCGGGAGAACTGGGCTTATGTTGAAGGCACAGTCGACAAGGCTCCTGATGAGCAGGATGTCAGGTGTGAGAGACAAGCAGGAGTCAAATATGACCCCAAGGTCCCTTAGACAAATAAAGGTGACAGTTAATGAGGATCTTCACTAGGGCTGCAGCTCGTGGAAAAGAGAGGAGGGAACAAACACAAGCCATGTTGTGGCAACTCAATGGAAAAGATTTGACAATTCATCTTAACACGGGAATGGCGGAGAAGAAGGCCAAATTCTGTGATTCATTCAATGCCTTTATCGAGACTCAACTCTACCCAGCTTGGGAAAGGCCCCGGGGACACTGGTGAGCATGACCGCATTGGCCCTGGCTATCGATGGAACTTACCAAGCCAACCAGCAATGTATTATTCCATTATTATTAATTTAATTGTAGTTTTAATAAATTAATATATAAATTAATAAATTTATTGAATATTAAATATGCACAATAGGTATAGCATAAAATATAAACATTTAATATGTAATATAAATTTAATAGAAATACAATTTAATTTTAATAATTTAATATTAACTACCAATGCTATTATTTCATAATAGGATCAATTCATATTACAATACTCAATGGCAAACATTGTATTAGACAATGAGGATTCCAGACAAATAACAAATAAGAGATGGTAGGTGTGAAGTCAGGTGCAGTGACTCACGCCTGTAATCCCAGCACTCTGGGAGGCTGAGGCAGGCGATCACTTGAGGTCAGGAGTTTGAGACCAGCCTGGCCAATATGGTGAAACCCCATCTCTACTAAAAATACAAAAAACAGCCAGATGGTGGCACATGCCTGTAATCCCAGCTACTCGGTAGGCTGAGACACAAGAATCACTTGAACCCGGGAGGCAGAGTTTGCAGTGAGCCGAGATCGAGATCATGCCACTGCACTCCAGCCTGGGTGACAGAGCGAGACTCTGTCTCAAAAAAAGAAAAAGAAAAAGAAAAAGAAACGGTAGGTGTGCACCCTTATAATCCTATTCAGTGAGAGTTTTAGAAGTGGCATGGATAGAGGGTAGTGGACCCATGGGGACAGAGCAGCCATCCGCCTGAAGGGTGAGGACGGCATGGGCTTGAGGGATGGCTGGGCACTGCTGGGAAACGGAGTGTGCAGTCATGGGGACCGGTGAGGCTGGGTGTGAGGGTGGGGGGTGGGCAAGCCGGACTCACGTGGCCGTAGCTGGAGCAGACGCTCCCACGTTTCAAGCCTAGACAATGGACTCTTGGTTCCATGGGGACAAGGATTCAGACTGTTTTGTCCACTCTGTGTCCCTGGGACCCTGCACAGTCCCTGTGTTCACTAGGCTCAACAAATTCACTTTGCATAGACAGACAGAAGAGAGGGAAGGGAACCGAGGTGAAGGCAATAATGACTCCTTCGGAAGATAGGTTAAGTCAGAAAAGAATTTGGGAGCTTCCTGGCCACCATAGAAACAAGGCAGTCTGAGACTGAGCCCCGGCCCTTGAGGGGAGGATCTGGAGCCAAGCCGGTGCTGGAGTTCTGGAAGCGCTATGGTGACAGGAACACTCTGTGGGGTCCCCAGCAGGTGTGGGAATACCTGTATTTCCTGGATGCTTTCCTCCTCCCTGGCATCCACCTTCTTCTCAACCCCCTCGCCACGGAGCAAGGCTTCCAGCGTGGTGCTCTCTGAGGTGAACCCATCCTTCTTCAGGGGAAGCTCCACTTCTGAAAAACAAAGATAGAAAGGCAGGTCAGGCCACTAGAAGCAGGCAGGGCAGGAGGGACAGTCCTGGAGGACACGCAGGGCCCAGGGCTCCTGAGGAGGACTCGGGGCCTGTGCTCTCTCCTCCTGGAGGGAGAGGAACACTGGAGCCCTGTCCAGCTTTTCCATCTCCATTTCATAATCCAGAGACAGATTCCGACCATGCCCACACCCCCAGAGGAAGCTGAGCCAGAGCAGAAAGGGTGCGGGGTAGATGTGGGCTCACACGGCCATGCTTCTGCCTCTCCAGCCATGACATCGGACAAGGCAGGCGTCAGGAGCGTGGAGCCCTTATTGCATCCACAAAGCAGGGGTAACAATACCCAACCCCACAGGTGGTTTTGTAAGGGGACATGTGTTCATTTGCGGGAAAGTGTTTCAAAAACTCAAGCAATGCACAATGCTGGCAACCAAGTATGCTCATTCCCTCCTATCCCAGCTCTTGTCTGTCAACCCCATGACCTCCTCATGGCCATGCTGGCTGCCCAGCTCTGCTTTCCTCCATGAAAAGCTAGTTCAGCCTCAGAAAGGTTGTTCTCTTCAACCCAGGGGGAAGTGAGAGCTTCAAAAGCCACGGGAAGAGGAGCGACGGCGAATGCCTCACAAGCCCCGGATGAGCAGAGTGGCCACTGCACAGCCACGCCACGACCTTTTTTTCTGAAGGTATCAGGAGTTTGATCAGCTACCTGGGGCTTGAGAAGAGAAGCCCTGGGGTTGCCAGCAGAGAAGTGGCAACCCGAGCCAGCCCTGCCCAGAAGAGACACCAGAGAGAAGCTGAACCCCTTCCTCCAGGTGTCCCAAACTCCTGACCTGACAGAGGGTTGGTGTGTTTCTTTCTTTTCTTTCTTTCCTTCCCTCCTTTCTTTCCTTTCCCTCCCTCCCTCCTTTCTTTCTTTCCATTCTCTCTTTCTTTCTTTCTCTCTCCCTTCTTTCTTTCTCTTTCTTTCTTTCTCTCTCTCTCTCTTTCTTTCTCTTTTAGAGACAGGGTCTTACTTTATCACCCAGGCTGGAGTGCAGTGGCACTATCATAGCTCACTGCAGCCTCAAACTTCTGGCCTCAAGCAATCCATCTGCCTCAGCCTCCCAAAGCACTGGGGTTATAGGCATGAGCCACCATCCCCTGCTGTTTTTTTAATTAAAGATGCAAACCTAAGGTACAGGAGATCATTCTGATTTACTAAAATATTTCTTCAACCTCTCCTCTGATCCTGGACCTCATACCCCCACACTGCCACAGTTTGATATGTGGTCCTTACCATTGCACCAGGTAAGCTGGGGGCAGGAACTATGATGCAGTGGTGTCCCAGAAAACAGGAGAGATGAATGGCCTGCTCTTTTGGGGGTATTGAGAGTTTAGTGTAGGGACTATTTACAGAGATGGGGAGAGGTGATTAAGGGATCTGACAAGGTAGGTTAAAGCATCCCAGGTGGGTTTTGGGCAGGGGTGAGGGTGGAGAGGGGCCATTACCGCTGCTGCTATTTTTGGAGGGACAGAGGGAGAGTGCTTGCAAGAACCTGGAGATAGCACCATTAGCAGAGCCCCAGGACAGGAGCTATGGCTTGCAGAAGCCAGGAACCAAGGGAAGAAACAATCCAACCACCCTCTCCATCCATCCTCCATCAGCCTGCTGCGTCCTCTCCCAAGGGCCAACCTTAAACAGAAGCGAGAGGGGAAGGGAGCCCCCTTCACACAGCCTACCGAGCTCCGAGCAGGGTGAAGACGGAAAAGCATGGATCTGGAGGGGCAAATGGAAAGAGCAGCACCACCGAGCCTGCTCCACTGGGCTCTGTCCTGACTCCAACAGAATCCTACCTGCACTTTCCACTTCCTCCACCAGAAACAGAGGGAGTCTGACCAATCCATGAGGAAGCGGCAAGCGGGCATCCATTAAAACTGAACAAATGCACACCTGTGGGTGACCGGCCCCCAGAAAAAGAAGGTGGGAAGGAGAAACAGCATCTAAAATCTCTTGAGAAACAAAGTCTTTGGGATTTTTCCTACCAAAAAAGGAGAGCAAAGGATCCACTTCCCATCAAGGAGCGCTACCACGAAATCAGCCACCTCTGAATCCATCTATCCATTCAACAGATATTTACTGAGCACCTGCCATAGGACCACCACTGTGCTGGGACTAGGGACATAGGAGGTGAACCAAATAAAGACAGGCCCTGCCTTTAGGAGGCTTACAGTCCAAAGAGACAGATAGTAAATGCAAAATACAAAATCAAAATGCAATTACGAATTGTCGTAAATGTTAGGGAGGAAAACGACAGAATGAAATGTGAAAGAATATAGGTAACGGGGTCTACCTTAGATCAGGGAGTCAGGGAAGGCCTGTATGATGAAGTTACATTTAAGGAGAGTGTCAGACAAACAGCCAACTGTCTGCTTTAATGAGTTCATGGAGTACATCTCCATAGCCTGCTCTGATGACATATTACTCTTTCTCCCAAGTCAGAAAAGTCTTCCAAATGTCTACTCTAAAGCAATTAGTGTGTGCTGTCTCATGTCCTGTCCTCAGTCAAAAGAGAACAGCTGGTCACAACCCCTCAAACTTATAATAATCATATATACATAGAGTTGAAGTTCATATTTTAGTATCCCCCTTAGCCTTCGCAGCACTAAATAAATCCTATTTATTAGTGTTATTTCCCAGAATGGTACAGCATTTTAGAGCTAGAAAAGACCTTATAGATCATCTAATTCAATCATCTCATTTTGTAGATGCGTCACCCGAGACCCTGAAAAGTTAAGTAACCACCAACAGCCACACAGCAGGATGAGAATGCAGCTGAATGATATTTCCAAGTTGCCACTGAAATCACGACAATGGCCCCCTCTCATTGTATTCTTATTAGTGGTTGACAGGCTTAGGCTGAGCCCTGAATGAGCTTTGGTACATCCGTGTACATGCAGAGGGCTTGGCAAGCAGCAAACATTCAAAACTTAGCAGCTGTTACTGCTACGTATCAATCCCCACTACACCCAAGAGCACAGTTATTAACCCGTTTTACAGATGAGGGCAGTGCAGCTTATAGAGGTTGAGAACTTGCTTGATATCACACAGCTGGTAAGGGGCAAAGCCCGGCCTTAAACTCAATCTGCCTTCAGACCCAGTCACCTAATTAGGCTGCATGGACTCCACCCTGTCTCTCTGTGGTCCTTCCTTGAAAAGTCTTTTTCCAAACCTTTATGCATTTTCATTACATTCTGAGACTCACTCCATAGTTTTCATATTTCAGGATAAAAGGCAGATCTTTAACTGAGGATGAGGGCAGGTTTGTGCCATGGTTTTGGGTTCTGCTCTATACGATCATCCCCGTGCAATGTTCACCATTCTGCGACAGTATCTACCCACTATAGAATGTTCCATCAATAGTGAACTTGCCCCTCTCTTCCTTCTCCTGCTCTTCCTTCCTCCTCTGATAAATATGCCTCCATCCTGCTTTCCCATAATTGAATCTACTCTCTTGGTCCTCTTTAACCAAACTTTACCAGATAGGCACAGTAGAAGAATCAAGAGGGAAAACAGAACCAAATGGGAAAAGTGAAATGGAAAAAGCAAGAAGGGATCTCCAATAGCATCAAGAGTCCAATCCCTTAAACAGGAAAGTGAAGCACAGAAAGATATAGAGATTCCCCCAGGGTCACAGAGACATGTAGTGGCATCTTGCTTCCCTAATTACCACAATAGTTGATTTGCTCCCATAGGTTCTGCCTTCAGACAGCCCTGGAGTCAATCCCTAGCCTTGCCACGTATTAGTAAAGGGACCATGGGCTAGCTACGTAACCTAAGCCTCCATTTCCATATGTGGTAAATGGGTGTGGTCATAGTATCTATTTCAGTGTTGGCGAATCAAACATGGCAATGTGCTACATAAAGAAACGCTAAAAGAATCCACACACAAAAAAACTAGTGTGATAAATAGGGTAGAAGATGAGGCTTATCAACTTTTGTTTTATTCTATTCAAAACTTAGATTCAAAATTAGATCATATACGTAAAGAATCTACAACATGGTAAGTATCCTAAAAATGCTAGATGTTATTCCCTAAGTTTGAATAGTTTTGATTTCAATGGTACAGCTGCACTGTCCAACAGAAATGTAATACCGGCCACTTATGTAATTTTTAACTTACTAGTAGTCACATGTAGAAAAAGGAAGAAAGTCAGGTGTCATTAATTTTAATAAGATATTGTATCCGATCTGGTATTTCTAAAACATTACCATTCAACATGAAATCAACATAAAAATATGGACGCAAAATTTTACATTCTTTTATCTGCATTGTCTTCAAAGTCTGGTGGGTATTTTCCATTTAGAGCGTATCTCAATTCAGACTAGCCACATTTCAAGAGCTCCATAGCCACAGGTGGCTACCAGCTACCATAATGGACAGTGCAGATTTGCAGCATTAAAAATAACATTAACTATGACTTTGCTTCCAAAAAATGGAAAGAATTTTACTGTGGTTCTTAATGTTGTCCACGTAATAGCTGCCGAGTGCCATTCCAAGAGCAGAGTTCTAGCGGATCACTGCAAACCCTGGTTGCAAAGCATGATGGGTAAGGCCTGCAAGGTCAGAGTGAAAGGGTAGCCATCCCTCCCTACAAACAAACACAGGGTGCACTCTGCCTCCTGACCACAGGAGGTCCCAGAATGAAGGAGGAAGAAAGGTAACAGGTCCAAGCCCTTGCACAATGTATGTCCTAAACACACTTCTATTGAGCCCTTAGGGATTTCATTTATCCAATTTTATTTGAATATGGCCCATCTGGATATAGGATTTAATAATTCTTTGAAAGTGTACTCATTTTGAACCTCACACAAACTTGGGGCCCACATAACCCGACAGGAGCCATTGAACCTTTAACATTAAAAGAAAATGGTCCAAAACACACACATAATTCATCTTTAAATTAGCCTGATTTTATACACATGGATATAAACCCATGGATCGTTACTCTCTCCAGAGCGGCAGCAGCTGTCACCCAAGCCAGCCGCCTCCCTGGGCCCCCGTAAGCAGCTCTGCCTCTACTTCTAATTGGGAACAGAGATACTCCTTGGGTGACTTCCAGCACGATCCATCACACCAGAGACAGCTTCTGTGCAAACCGAAGCAAATCGGTTTCTAAATAAGAAAAAACCTCCGAGACAAACAAGGATTGAAGCATAGAAAGTCTTTTAAAAACAACCAAAAAAAGCACAAATAAAAGCAAAAAAACAAACAAACAAACAAAAAAAACCACACACACACACAGAAATTTCCAGCAAAGAGCAATGGCTTCTTCTCTTTAGGGCTACAGACAGGGCAGCCATCCTCTTGGGTGCAGATCAAAGCCACAAGCTTTTGACACAGGTGCCCCAAGCCTGCCACCCAATGCACTGAAAGCAAAGCTTCCACTGGGTTGTTGGAGCCACCGAGCTCATTAACAGGATGCAGGCGAGATGAGTCTGAAAGTGCAACATGGGAGCACAGTGAGTAATTAAATCCCAGGTCATTTAAAAATGCAAACGCCACGAATGTCATGAGCTCCCCAAGCCTCTGACTCCTTCTCCTTCGTTATTTGGCTCAGGATGAAGGACTGGAAACCTGCAAGTCGTATATGGATTATAATAAAATATGCCATATAGAAAACAGATTAAGACAGTTCTTCTTTGGGGAAATATACAAGGAGAGGAGCTGTCTGTTAGCTGTCGAGTTTGCAAGAGATACCATCTTTCGGGAGGCAGTGTGTTCTGCCAACAGACAGACTGCCCCAAGGGAAATTGTGGTGAAACACCCCGACAAGGCGCATCCATCCGTCCATCCATCATGGGCTCCCTCTGATGCAGGGGCCTGGAGATAGAGTTATGGTGCAAAAGGGAGGGAGAAATCCCACAGACAATGGCAAAGAATCCTCCTGCTAGATCATGAGTGCTCAATTTTTTTTTTTTTTAGCTGCCTCTAGTTTTTCTTCAAAAATACAAACATGCAGTTTTCTCGTCTGGGTGCTTATTATATTGAGGAGTTAAGCTCATCATATTTCCTTGGATTTATACATCAAATTACACGAAGGAGAAAAGAGCTTAAGAATCATTATTTCATTTATCCCCATCAGACTGTCAGACTCGTGAGGAGGGAGAAGGGAGGGAGGTATTGTTATCTCTCACCTCACAGGGGAAGAGACTGGGGAGGGGGATCAGAGACCTGATTTCCTAAGATGGTGGCAGGCCCAGGGATCCATCTGCTCATTCCCTAGGGGTGCCACTTTCTTGGCTGCCTTTGACTCCCTGTTTTGTGACTCATAAAGCTCGAAATAGATGAGGTTCACATTGAGGACCCATCACCCAGGCTGCACCCTGCAGGCCCTATTACCACTTGCTTTAGAATCTCAGGATATCCATATAACAGGAGGACTCATCCCTCCCCCATATGGCCTCTGCTGCACCTACCCTCTCACCCCTAAGTAGACACGCCAGGATGGGTTACGGCATCCAGATATCAGGACCACAGATAAGCATTCCCCCACCCCGAGATACAGAAAAACACCCACACTGCCCAAGGAAGCTCACCACTGAGCTGCCAGCAGACCAGGTAAATGCAGCTACCAGGAGGGTGAGACGGGGAGGGTGGTGGGAGTGGACAGAGTGCGGGCAGCATTTCCAAAGGCAAGGTCGGGGAATCAGGAGAGGCTGGTCAGATGGTACAGAGTGTCAGTCAGACAGGATGAATATGTTCTGGAGATCTGTTGTACAGCATGGTGACTCCAGTTATTAGTAATGAAAATTGCTAAGAGAGTCAATCTTAAATGTTCTCATGCACACACAAAAAATGACAAGAATGTGGAGTGATAGATACATTAACTAGCTTCATTTAGTCATTTCACAATGTATATATATATTTAAACATCACACTGTATGCCATAAATATATATAACTTTTATTTGTCAATTATGCCTTAATAAAGCTCGGAGGGAATAAAAAAGTAAATAATAAAAATGCAGGCTGGGAGCAGTGGTTCACACCTATAATCCCAATATTTTGGGAGGCGAGGTGGGTGGATAACTTGAGGTCAGGAGTTTGAGACCAGCCTGGCCTACATGGTGAAATCCCATTTCTACCAAAAAAACACAAAAATTAGCCATGTGGGATCGTACGCACCTGTAGTCCCAGTGACTCGAGAGGCTGAGGTGGGAGAATCGCTTGAACCTGGAAGGGGGAGGTTGCAGTGAGCCAAGATCATGCCACTGCGCTCCAGCCTAGGTGACAGAGTGAGACTCTGTCTCAAAAAAAAAAAAAATGCATAGTGCAAAGAAATACAGACAACCAGAAAGTGCAAAAAGCTGCTCTGGGGTGAACTCTCAGCTCCATTACCCTAAAGCACACACTTGGCCTTGATCTCCTTATCTGTAAACCTGGGAGAACAAAACCCACTTCCCACTGTTGTTATGGGGCCAAAGGAGATAATACATATGAAGTGTCTGGCACAGGTGAGATGCTCAATAAGTATGAGCTCCCTTCTTTCCACCTCCTACAGTTTCCCTCTCCTTGTGCTTTTCAGCAAAAAAACCCTCACCTTTCTGACACTCTAAGACCACCAGATGTGGTGAGTGAGGCACAGCTAACCCCACCATGGGCATGAGCCCAGGGAGGATGGAAACAAACGGAATCTGAGGCAGGTAACAGGATGGAAGAGGCCAAGAATGAGACGCAGCTGGAAAGCAGACGCTGGTGCTGCTCCAAGTCCAGGGTGGCCATTGCTCCTGGAGCTTCGGGGGAAAAATCATGGCAGAGCCACAGTGGAAGATACCCTGCTTTATCCCTTCATTTGGCAAGTAATTATCAAGCACCTACTATGTATCGACTCTGTTCTAGGTGCTGGGGCAATGACTCTGAAGAAAAGAGACAAAAATCCCGGCCCTCATAGAATTTATATTCTAGCAAGAGAGAAACAATACATGAAGCAAACAAGTGAAACCTTCAGTGTGACAGATGGTAATCAGTGCTTTGGAGGAAAAACAGAGCCAAGGAGGAGAAGTTGGAGTGTCAGGGTGATGGGAGGGGGGTTACACTTTTAAATGTGGCCAGGAAAGTGCAAGCCTGAAGGAAGAGAGGGAGGGGGCTACGCTGACATCCAGGCAAAGACGTTCCAGGCAAAGGGGCCTTCAGCACAAAAGCTCTGAAGCCGGCCCATCTGCCTGGAGCACGGTGAGCCAGGGGGATGGTAGGAGACCAGCTTGGGGAGCTACAGGGGCATTGAAGGCCATGTAGGCACCTGCAAGAATGTTGGCGTCCACCCCAAATGCAATGGCAAGCCGCTGGAGGTGTTGAGCAAAGCATGATATAATGATGCCTACATGTTAACAGAATCACTCTGAGAATAAGTGAAGGGGGTCGGAGCAGATGTGGGGTGACCAGTGAGGAGTTACTGCAAAATGTATGTCGTCTCTTAATGAGTTTGGTGCTTGGGGAGGGAGCTATGCACGATATGGACAGAGCTCTGTCCTCATGGTACTAATATTGTGGTTCTCAGATGTGTCCTGGGGGCAGTAAGCACTGGGGAGCAGTGCCCTGAGCAGGGGGCTTCCCCACCAGTGAACCAGGATGGAGGCCAAGTGGAGAGGCTGGTGTCAATGCAAAGTGGGCAAAGGTGTGAAGCCACACCAGGGTGAGTCCACGGAGGAATGGCTCTTCAAGAAGAAAGTGGACCAGCCCAGGCCAAGGGCAGGGAAAAAGATCTAGCCACATGGGCCTGGCCTGGCATACCATGGTTTAACAGGTGTAGTAAAAGCAGAGAGGAGGCCTTCCCAGTTCATCTCTGTGCCCTGGGCCATGGGTGCCTCGGGGCTGAGTTCTGGGACATAGGAGTGAGGTCCTGCAAGCTGTGGTTCTGGTAAAGGTGGGTCCCACGGCCAAGTTCTAGGTCATCTATAGACTGGGGCCTTTTAAAAGGCTATAAGACAGAGCTGGGCATGGTGGCGCATGCCTGAATTCCCAGCTACTCAGGAGGCTGAGGCAGGAGGAGGATCACGTGAACACAGGAGTTCAAATATAGCCTAAGGAACACAGCAAGGCCCGTCTCTAAAAATAAATAAATAAATAAAATAAAATGAATAGACTCTAAGGCAGAATGAGTTGCCATTCTGGGCCAGATGGCACACACTTTTCCAGCGGGGCAGTGAGCTGTCTGCAGCAAATTCATTTTCGGTGTTGGGGACGGGAACTGTGTTGCAGAGACCCACCCAGCAGTGCAGTGTGGAGGTAGAATCACAGTGCCTCCTCACACTTGCCAAGTCCTCCACCCTCCATCCCACACGCCTCTCAGAATAACCCCGCAAAATCACCATGACCCACATCTCACAGATGAAGGACTGAGGCAGGAGTGGTTAGGAAATTGTCCAAAATCACACAGCCAGTGGCTGGAGGGATCTAGACTTGAACCTAGGCCTGTGATCCCTGTTTGGTGCCTGTCCTCCTGCAGAGCAAGGATATTTGGACAGGGAAGGCCCCTACAACCCAAAACCAAACAGCCAAGATGGCAACACTTGGGCCCCCCAGGCCAGGCTGGGAACCACAAGGGAAGCCAAGCTCAGCCACCCCAGGCCTCTCCTCTCTGGCGGAGCCTCCCTCATCTGTGAAGCAGAGATGATGAGAGCTAAGTCATGTTCTCCAAGGTTAAGATCAAACACCAGACATGTCTCTTTCCCTCATCCCTTTAGAAATCTTTACTGCCCATGTACTATGTGCCAAGCCTCATGCTGGGTGCTAGGGATACAGATGAAGAAACAGATGGGCCCTCGCCGTCAAGTTGTCCACCTCCCAGTGGGCAGAGGTACAGGTGAGCAGGCAATGGCATAACTGGGTGATCCCTCAGACTCACAACTCATGCTCTACACGTGGCTCTGCCAGGTCCCACTGCAAAACATGACCGTGGACACTCAGCAGCAGCCGTGCCACTGTCCTGCCCACTGCCTGCTGCCAGCCCACCTCCTCGGCCAGCCCAAGCTCCCAGAGCCCTGCAGAACACCAGCAGAGCTGGGGAACACGAGCAGAGCTGAAGTCACACAGACTTCGTCCCCCAGTCCCTGCTCCTTTCCTGAGACGGACAGGAAGGCAAAAGGAGCAGGTCCCTTCCAGCACGTAATAGCCACAGCCTGAGTGGGGGCTGCACGCCCTGCCCACCTCGCTCCAGCTCCCCTTCTCATGAGGCCAACCAGAGCTGACGAAGCTGCCGGTGCAGGCCTCCAGATGGATGGCTGCAGGCTCTGACACTGCAGGAAAGAGATAAATGACTGGTCATTTCCCCCTGATGCACTTGAAGGCATCCATTCTCCCAGCCGTACCAAGCTCAGGCAACCCCCACCGCCCAGAGACAGATAAGCACTGACAGATGGGGGTGGGAGCCGGAGCGTCCTTCCCCCTCGGAAGGACACAGCCAGACTCCTCTGCAGGCCGGGAGAAGGTCGCGTTGTCCATTGGCTCACACCTGGCTCGAGGCTCCGCGGGTCCCTTCCTCCATCTCCCCGTTCTTGCCCACCCCCGCCTGGCTCATCCATCTGAAGAGCACACGGCAGAGGGGGAAGGCTGGGGGCAGAAGGAGCCGCTGACAGGCTCATCAATCTCAGGTTACATGCTTGGCACCTCGGCGTTCCTTAAGTTGTTCCCGGATTGGGAGGGTGTCGCAGGAGCCAGGGGCACTGTCTTGAGGAGAAGAGAAATCGCACCGAACATCAGAGAGCAAATGGTGGAGAAGCCTGGAGACTATTAAAATGTGGGCCATGTACAAAAGCAGTAGGGAACTAATTAAGATGCAGGATTTTCAAAAGCTGGGGAAGTTGGCCGCAGCCTGCTCCCATCTGTAGAGTTCTGGCAGTTCAGCGCAGCAGGGACAGCACCCTGGGTGGGTGAAGTAGGCCTCACCACCCCTGCTCGAGCTGGCCAGACTCAAGTCCCTCCGCCTGGACCACCCCTTTGGGAGATACCCCTCTGCAGGTCCCTACGACTTGCTTGTTGGCCAGCCTGTGGCCCTCTCTGCTTTGGGACACCTTAAGCCACTGTCGTCTTCGGGGTGCATGCCCTCTTGTCTGAGTTTCCCCCAACGACATGGGATGGGGGCGATCATCCTGGTCGTTCATCCCCAGTCATTGAAGGACTGCCAAAAACAGAAAAAATACAAGAGAAAGAACACTATCCCTGGCTGCCCTCCCTCCCATCACCCTCGGAATTCGGCAAGGGTGGCAAAGAGCCACCCTGCTCCCCAAGAGTCCTGGAGCAGAAGGGATCGACAAGGCCTCAGGTGCATTCCAGGTACAGGAGGAGCGTCAACTGTAAAGCCCTTTTCATCTGCGGGTCCAGGATAAGTGAGTGTGTCGGGCCTTCAAGCAACATGGCAGCAGCTCCAGCAGGCTCCCCATAGGGAGCATCACCAGGATCCTGGCATCACCAGGATCCCCTGGGAAATTAGCTTCCTAATTCTGTGCCGCAGTTTCCCAACCTCTAAAATGAAGATAATATCTGTCCTAGACCATGGGGACCGAAGGTCTGGGGTTGAAAGATGCTAAATTGATCTAAGCAGACTATCTGGGCATTTACTTCAAGGGGACACAAGTAAAAGTTTGTTCCCAGCCTTTGTCTTTTCTTCATTCAAAAAAAAAAAAAAAAGGAAAAGAAAAAGAAAGAAAGTGAAGTTAAAGGCCTCTTTTTTAATCAGCTGGCTTTTGCCCAACATCTGCTGTGCTCCCAGGCCTTCTGGTGGATATTTACTCTCCACCTTTCTCTTCTGCCAGCTCCACTCCCCCTTCACAAGGACAGAGCCCTTTTCCTGGGGAGATGGTCCGGGGGAGGCCCCTTGCTGGCACCAGGCCCCTGCCCAAGTCTTTGTGTTGTAGAATTGTGATGTCTACATCATGAAACACCTTGCATTCGCCTCTGTGGCCAAGTGCAAGCTGCAGAGAACACTGAACTCAATTGTCAGTCACTGGGGAGAAATAATGTTGTGTGTGTTGTCCTTCAGATGCCCAGGCAAGTAGGAGGTTGCAAGATGTTTATTCAAGACTGACTAGAGGGGTGACATTTGGCAGGAGAAACACATAGGTCCAGGGACACTGAGAACACTTGCAAATTCCAAAGAGTTCTTCCCAGATCTCAGGCCCTTCCTATCCCCATGCAGACAGATTTTTATTTTCAGCAAATAATAAAGAAACAGAAGAGGGATGGTGCATTTACCACACTGAAGGGGTGAGGACAGCAGGACTGGGAGTCACTCCAGGAGGGAATAATTTCACCCAGGAACAAATGACTCGATGTCAGCCAAGACCCAGCTCCCCACTTTTTTTGAGCCAGGGCCTCCCTCTGTCACCCAGGCTGGAGGGCAGTGGTGCAATCATGGCTCACTGCAGCCACAACCTCGCGGACTTCATTGATCCTCCTACCTCAGCCTCCCTAGTAGTGTCACCCTACAGGTGCCCACCACCACACCTGGCTAATTTTTGTATTTTTTGTAGAGACAGGTTCTTGCCATGTCACCCAGGCCCAGCTCCCCACTTTCCAGCCTGAAAGGTCCACTCATCCCACATGAGCAAAGTGCTTCGGGGGACTGAATCAGAAAAGGATGGTTCTGTGGCACTGTCCTCAGATCTTCTCCAACAGCCCTCAAGATTCTTGAACGTGCACCCCCCACTCTTTGCCCTGACCTGGTTTCCTGACACAGCTCCGCAGACCTGAGCTCAGAGAAAACTCTGACCCTCGTTACCCCTGGACTTCGTTGCTGAAACCTGCCCATCACTGCTGGACTCAGGCAGGGACAGAAAGGAATACAGGAGGGACAAGCTGAATGTTGGCATAAATTTTTTGTGACATCTCCTCACTGTCCATAGGAGAGTCTGACGTGGAAAGAAACTCATGCCTTGAGACAATTCTGCTCCAGGCCAGTGGCCCCTCAGTCTCTTGAAGAGCAGGCAGACTATTCTCCCTCTTCCCGGAGGAGATGAGGACATGTCAGGGTGTGCTGACGGCAGAACCCAGGTGGGCTTCAACAGTACTAGGCAAAACTAGATTCCTGAGCATCCTCTGTCAAGGGGAGGTCACACCAGGAGGCTGGGAGGGAAGATGAGGAAAAGACAGGCATCCTCAGGGGGTGGGTGTGGAGGGGCACCATGGGTGGGTGGGTTGGTTGGTTGGGTTCTTTCCAACATAACTCAGCCTTCCAGTTTCCATAAATTTAAAGAGATGCAACCCAGGATGGACAAATTATCGTTCTTCAGCAAGTTTTGCCCAGAGGATTATATACAATGTTGTACAATTTGCTTTTTGTTGTGCAATTTGTTTTTTTTCGCCACTTAGCAATATATCTTTAACATCTCTCCATATTTTTTTTACTCATTCTTTTAAAGGACAAAATAATATTCCATTCATAGAATATACAAGTACTATATATTTAACTAGTCCTCATCAATGGATCTTCTGGAAGTTTCCATTCTTTGTTGTTATTACAAACCATGCCACAATAAAAAATATATACCCAATATATATTATATGCATATATTCATTTATAGAATAAGTTCCTAGCAATAGAATGTCTAGGTCAAAGAGCATGTGTGTTTTAAATACTGGTAGGTACTATTCATTGTACCTCAAAAAGGTCATACCAATTCCGTTGCAATGTGTAAAAAAGAGCCTCTCCCTCCATCTCCATCTCTGTTTCCCTCACCTGCTCCCCTCTCCTTGGGAAGGTCAGCCTCAGTCCACCCAGCTAATGATCCTCACCTCCTAGGAATTTGCAGCAAATTCTCCAGAGACTCTGGCCAATGACTCTATCCTGAGTCACGCGCGAAGTATCAGCCAAAAAACTGAGCTCTCCTTGAGCCCAAATCAAATGGAATAAAAATAAGAGATAGTTATTTTAAAATACTGTCCGAGTTAGCCCTGTTAACCCTCCTGAGGGAGGACATACCCCCAAAAAAGGGAGGAGTCCTCTCAAGTGGAAACTGCATTTTATGAATGATGAGGGCAGAGCCTCTGGAAGTTGGGCAGGTTGTGCCCTCAAAGGGACCCCCACCAGGTGCACAGAAGAGGGGCTGAGATCTAGCTCGTGCTCTACTAACCCACCAGAAAGGGCATCATACGTTTTGTAAACGTCCACCCCCCAGGGGGCACCACCCTCCACTTTTGCACAAACAAAACCATATGTGCTAGTCAAGGCCCTGGATGAAGTCACTCTTCTGAAATTTTGGCCTGTGCAAAAAATTCAAATGCAAACTTGCATCACCTCTGGGAAGACAGTGGGTACATTTCTTTGGCTGCGCTGTTTCTCATTCTCTAGATGGGCCCTGGCTGCTTGGAGGTACCAGGCTGAGGCTCGTTACCACTGACTCCAGGGCACTCCGACGGCCTCTTCATTCACCACCCGCAGCTGCAGGCTGGCATGGTGGTACATTCTGGGAGCCAGGTGCAGCCCCGGCTGTTCAGACTCAGAAGAGGATTGGGAAATGACAAGCATCTGCCCTAGGGTTTGTGGGGGTTGTTTCTGTGTTTTTAGCAGGCCTAGTAGTAGGTCTGTTTACCCAAAGAGGGGAACAAGTTCCTCTGAGAAGGTGCTCTGCCATGTGACAGTCACGCATTCCAGCCCCGGCTGTTCATTGCTTCTCAGCATCTGGGGGCTGGTGTGGAGGAATAAGCCTGCCTTGGGGGAACCCAACTTTTCCCCCGAGGGCGGATAATTGCAAAGGCCAGCACCTGTCTCTGCAGATGGGGTCCTTCCCCGGGACCCTGCCCATCCCTGGGGTGGACTTTCACCACTGGAAACCTGGTCTAGCCACTTCTGCCTCATGCTTGGGCAGAGGCTGAAGAAGCCTCTCAAATGATCACAGATACAAGACGCCATGTGCAGGTGGGGACTTGGCTATGGCAAACCGCTAGCCCTAGGTTCTTCCTTTCCCTTCCCCTCACATGTTACGGCAGGCCCGACAACGGGGCATGGCCAAAGCAGGCTGTGAACTCAGCTGCTCCACGTTCACCCACAGGCCAGGCATAAACACTGGCAGGCCCGTGTGCCCAAAGTAAATGTTTTTAGGCAGAAGGCACAAACACTCAAGAAATAGCTGCCTGCCTCAGTCCCACCAACATGGGCTCCTCAGATACATGAGCAGCACAACAAATTCTTCTTGGCTCTGTCCACAGTCTGATTTCTCTCACCTCTAAAATGGGCTCACAACCCTCTTACCTCTTCCTTCCCTCTCTACCTTCCAGGGCTATGGTAGGGACCAAGGAGCTGACATGAAAGAAAATGCTGCATGAACTACAGCATGCTCTTCGGACTCTGGTTATGATGATGATGATTAACCAGAGTGTCCCATCCCCTGGGTGGCAGCAATTGGTTGTGGGGGGGTAATAACCCCAGCCAGCTAATCTGTCCTTCCTAGGTCTTCTCTGCCACAGCTGTTGAGGGTGACTGCCTTTCTGCTGGGTGTGGTATGTGCTGAGACTGGAGCTGCTGGCAGCCCCCTCACTTACCCTATGAGGAGAAGAGAGTGTTAAAGGTACAGAGAGACTGGCTGGGTGTGATGGCTGATCCCTATAATCCCAGCATTTTGGGAGGCCCGAGGCAGGAGGATTGCTTGAGGCCAGGAGTTTGCAACCAGGCTGGGCAACATAGTGAGACCCCCGTCTCTACAAAAAAAAAAAAAAAAATAGCTAGGTGATATGGTTTGGCTCTGTGTCCCCATCCAAATCTCATCTTGTAGCTCCCATAATTCCCACGTGGGAGGGACCCAGTGGGAGATGATCAAATCATG
The DNA here is from genome assembly GCF_000001405.40 of Homo sapiens. Lineage (NCBI taxonomy): Eukaryota > Metazoa > Chordata > Mammalia > Primates > Hominidae > Homo > Homo sapiens. Next base: position 72,747,747 of record NC_000014.9, read on the forward strand.
GGGGAGGGTCTTTCCCATGCTGTTCTTATGATAGTGAATGGGTCTCACGAGATCTGATGGTTTTAAAAACAAGAATTTCTCTGCACAAGCTCTCTCTTTGACTCCTGCCATCCATGTAAGATGTGGCTTGCTCCTCTTTGTCTCCCCAGCCATGTGGAACTGTAAGTCCAATAAACCAGTTTCTTTTGTAAATTGCCCAGTCTCAAGTATGTGTTTATCAGCAGTGTGAAAACAGACTAATGCAGTAAATTGGTACCAGTAGAGTGGGGCATTGCTGAAAAGATACCCGAAAATATGGAAGCAACTTTGCAACTGGGTAACAGGCAGAGGTTGGAAAAGTTTGGACGGCTCAGAAGAAGACAGCGAAATGTGGGAAAGTTTGGAACTTCCTAGAGACTTGTTGAATGACTTTGCCCCAAATGCTGATAGTGATATGGACAATAAAGTCCAGGTTAGGGTGGTCCCAGATGGAGATGAAAAATTTGTTGGGAACTAGAGCAAAGGTGACTCTTGTTACATTTTACCAAAGAGAATGGGGGCATTTTGCCCCTGCCCTAGAGATTTGTGGAATGTTGAACTTGAGAGAGATGATTTAGGGTATCTGGTGGAAAAAATTTCTAAGCAGCAAAGCATTCAAGAAGTGACTTGGGTGCTGTTAAAGGCATTCAGTTTTATAAGGGAAGCAGAGCATAACAGTTTGGAAAATTTGCAGCCTGACAATGAAATAGAAAAAAAAAATCCATTTTCTGAGGAGAAATTCAAGCTGGCTACAGAAATTTGCATAAGTAATGAGGAGCCCAATATTAATCCCCAAGACAAAGGGGAAAATGTCTCCAGGGCATGTCAAGGGTCTTCACGGCAGCCCCTCCCATCACAGGCCTGGAGGTTTAGGAGAAAGAAATGGTTGTGTGAGCCAGGCTCAGGGTCCTTCTGTTATGTGCAGCCTAGGGACTTGGTGTCCTGTGTCCCAGCTGCTCCAGCTGTGGCTGAAAGGGGCCAACATAGAGCTCAGGCTGTGGCTTCAGAGGGTGCAAGCCTCAAGCCTTGACAAATTCCATGTGGTGTTGAGCCTGTGAGTACACAGAAGTCAAGAACTGAAGTTTGGAAACCTCTGCCTAGATTTCAGAAGATGTATGGAAATGCCTGGATACCCAGGCAGAAGTTTTCTGTAGGGGTGAGGTCCTCATGGAGAACCTCTGCTAGGCAGTGTGAAAGGGAAATGTCGGGTGGGAGCCCCCACACAGAGTCCCACCTGGGGCACCACCTAGCGGAGCTGTGAGAAGAGGGCCACCATCTTCCAGATCCCAGAATGGTAGATCCACTGACGGCTTGCACCTTGCACCTGGAAAAGCCGCAGACACTCAATGCCAGCCCATGAAAGCAGCCAGGAGAAAGGCTATACTCTGCAAAGCCACAGGGGTGGAGTTGCCCAAGATCATGGGAACTCACCTCTTGCATCAGCATGACCTGGATATGAGACATGGAGTCAAAGGAGATCATTTTGGAGTTTTAAGATTTGACTGCCATGCTGGATTTTGAACTTGCATGGGGCCTGTAGCCCCTTTGTTTTGGCCAATCTCTCCCACTTGGAATGGCTGTATTTACCCAGTGCCTGTACCCCCATTGTATCTAGGAAGTAACTAACTTGCTTCTGATTTTACAGGTTCATAAGCAAAAGGACTTGCCTTGTCTTGGATGAGACTTTGGACTGTGGACTTCTGAGTTAATGCTGAAACGAGTTGAGACTTTGGAAGACGGTTAGGAAGGCATGATTGGTTTTGAAATGTGAAGATATGAGATTTGGGAGGGGGCAAGGGCAGAATGATATGGCTTGGCTCTGTGTCCCCAGGCAAATCTCATCTTGTAGCTCCCCTAATTCCCACGTTGTGGGAAGGACCCGGTGGGAGATGACTGAATCATGGAGGTGGGTCTTTCCCATGCTGTTCTCATTCTAGTGAATGGGTCTCACAAGATCTGATGGTTTTAAAAACAAGAGTTTCTCTACACAAGCTATTTGCCTGCTGCCATCTGGGGAAGTTGAGGCTGCAGTGAGCTGTGATCGTGCCACTGCAGCCAGGGTGACAGAGTGAGACCCTGTTTAAAAAAAAAAAAGAAAAGAAAAGAAAAAAAAGTAAGAAAGAGAGAGAGAGGTAAAGAGAGACATGTAGCCCTCACTACGCTCACTATGCTTGAGCACCTGGATGTAGCTATGCCTGAAGCCAGATAAACCCTGGGATTTACTGGTACATGAGCCAACTTTCCTTTTTCTGCTTAAGATAGTTTGACTTGAGCTTCCAATGTTTATGACTAAAGGAATTCCAACTATCTCTTGGTTATTTTAATAATTTATATATTAGTTTTATGATCATAAAATAAAGTTTTTAAGAGAAGAAGCCTGGCTAAAGTTTCTTTAAGTTAGTATACCTATCAATAGTATGAGGAAGCAGAAAAAGTATTGAACAGGGAAATCAGGCAACCTAGATTCTCTGCTGGACCCACAAAAATTGCTGTATGACTTTGAACAAGTTTCTTAAACTGTCTAGACTCCAATAAAATAAAGAATCAGAGTTAGTGATATCTAAGGTATCGTATAGTGCTAAAAGTCTTTGCTTCTATAAAAGAAGACCTAATTAGTCTGATATAAATTGTTCTTAACCAAGACTTTTTATAGAAATGTTAAGAATAAAGACTAATAATTTAAAACATGTCAAGCACTTATAATAAAACCCTTTAAATTGACAACTTACATATGAGACGTCCTCATATATACATGCAAAATATTCATTGCATCACTCACTGGTTAAATTGGAAAATTTAGAAACAAAAATTGAGAACAGCCCGGTTAGACAAATTCATACAATGGAATATTATGTAATTACAAAAACGAAATGAAGAAACTTTATATTTTGCTGTGGACAATATCTAAGGCACATTTTTAATTGAAAAGTGCAAAATCCAAAGTGGTTGTGCTGTGTAAAAAGAGGAGGGAAAGTCAGATAGATTTAATTCCTGGTGCATGCATGGATTATCTCTTGAAAGAATCTCAAAAAAAAAAAAAAAAAAAAAAAAAACCTGCTACCACTGATTACCTTTGGAGAGACTGGGTCTTATTTTTCATGATACAGTATATCCTTTTATCTTTTGAATGTCAAAATATGTGACTGCCAGGCACAGTAGCTCCTGCCTGTAATCTTAGCACTCTGGGAGACCGAGGCAGGAGGATTATCTGAAGCCAGGAGTTTAAGACTAGCCTGGGTAGCATAGTGAGACCCTGTCTCTACAGAAAAGACAAAATTAGCCAGACATGGTGGCATGCACTTGTAGTCCCCACACACTGAGGAGGCCAAGGTGGAAGGAGTGCTTGAGCTCAGGAGTTGGAGGCTATAGTGAGCTCATTGCAACTACTGCACACCAGACTGGGCAACAGAGCGTGACCCTACCCTCTAAACAAAAATTAAAAAATAAAATTAAAAAAACTGTACATGTAACTGTATTACCTACTCAAAGTCAAATAAATTTTGGAAGTTTTTAATTTAAAAATTACATAAGGCTTTTTTGGTACTTATGGTCATGTCAGGGTGACATGTAGCCTAGCTACCTGTAAGTCTTCGAGACCAGCATTTCTCACACTTCATCGTGCATTCTGAGGATGCACTCCAGGGGATCGTGATAAAATGCAGGTTCTGATGCAGCAGGTCTGGAGCAAGGACCAAGCTTCTGCACGTCTGACAAGCTCCAGGTGATGCTGCCGCTGCAGGCCAGGACCGCACTTTGAATGTAGGTCTAGAACCACACTGATCAATACGGTCACCACTAGCCACCTGTGGCTACTGAGTGCTTGAAATGTGGCTAGTCCAAAAAGAGATGTGGGGATGTGTAAAATACACAATGGAATTGAAAAAGAGTATCAAAAAAGATCATAAATGATTTTATATCGATGACATGCTGAAATGATGTTTTTGATATGTTGGGTTAAATGGAATATATTATTGAAATTCATTTCCCCTGTTTCTTTTTCCTTTTTTTAATGTAACCACTAGACAAAGTAAAACAACACACATGGCTTGCATTATATTTCTATTGCATCATGCTGTCTAGGAGAACCTGATCTCCTACAACCTGCAACAAGGCAGGGGTTGGGACAACCTTGTCATCACCCTGGAGTATTTGCAAGGGTCTGTAAATTGGTATAAGGACACTGGAGACTTGGGAGAGAGCACATTGAAGAATCTGGCACCCACTCACCCCTAACAAATAAAACTTCTATTTAAGTGAAATACGGATTGAAGCGAACAATCAAAGCAGTCGTAACCCTGGAACTGTAGGTAGAGCTTTTGCAGAGCAGAGTCAGCCTAAGGGACCAGTGTTGCAAGGAAGGAGTGAGGTACCTTTGCCAGGCAGCCAGGCTTGACAGTCTGCAATGCTGTGGTGACAGTGGGAGGAAGTATGTCAACTCTACTTGCACCACTGAACAGCACTGTCCCTACCACCCTGAGTCACATCCCAGCCTGGCACCCTCAAAAACAAAGATGCGTTTAAAGCTAAGGGCCTGGGGTAATCACTTGGCTTGCTGCAACACAGACACAGGTCTGAAGACAGCCAAATAGTCAGAAGTGTAATATTAGATCAGCATAGGCCAGGCATGGTGGCTCATGCCTATAATCCCAGCACTTTGGGAAGCCAAGGCAGGCAGATCGCTTGAGGCCAAGAGTTCAAGACCGGCCTGGCCAACATGGTGAAACACTGTCTCTACTAAAAACACAAAAATTAGCTGGGAGTGGTGGTGCACATTTGTAATCCCAGCTACTCGGGAAGCTGAGGCAGGAGAATCACTTGGACTCGGGAGGCAGAGTCTGCAGTGAGCCGAGATTGCACAACTGCACTCCAGCCTGGGCAACAAAGCTAGACTCTGTCTCAAAAACATATATATATTAGATTAGTATAGACATAACGCCACCAATTCCTTCTGTGTGGCCACAGAGCAATCTGCATCACACGGGTAAATTGTAATCTCAAACTCTTCCATCCTCATCCAAGGTAAGTGCAATTTTTAGTGAATTGGCCCCTTTTTGTGTAAGATGCTCCAAAGCTCATACAGGGTAAGGGGTAGAGGGTCCACGGTGTATTATCTTCTCCTTAGAAACATACAAACTGGGCCAAGATTTCTTTACTTGAGGCCACAAGAAAAGTATCACATGACCCGAAAGAGCTGCACATCCTTCAGTTCTGTTGGGAAATTCATCCTGCACCTGGGCTGGGGTGCAGCCTTTCTTTCCTCCCTGGGGTGGCAAAGGGAAGGCATGAGACACCCAGAGGGGAGAAAAGCTCAGGTGGACACGTGGTCATGTTTCTACTCAGCAGGCACAGAGGTGCACCCTTAAGCATGATGTGGGCATGTTCCCTCTCCCAGAAAACTTAGCTCTATGGACAAAGGAGCAAACCAACCTTGTCCTGGGCCCAGCCCAGTCCTCCCACCTTTCCCATCACAGACCCAGCCAAGCTCCAGAGGGCACTGACCAGGTTTTATCTCCAGCAGCCGCAGTTTTGGATCTTCAGGTGGGTGCAATCGTCTCTTCTTGCGCCAGCAGCGGGCAGGGTATGTATACAGCTGGCCCGGGGCAAGGCCTGTGGACAGAGACAATATAAAGATTAAAGGCTCCAGGCTGGAAGGGGCCTTGGAAACTACCCTGACTAACCCCGTCATTCACAAGGAGAGGAAGCTGAAGCCCAGAGAGAAGTGACTTGTCAACATCACAAAGCTGATTGCTAGTGGTGGCAAGGCTGAATCTAGGTCATCTGACCCCAGGACCCTGGCTCTGTCAGCTCCACCATGCTGTTCAGCAAGCCCATGCCAACGAGAGCCATTGCCTTCACCAAAACCAATTCTGCTCTCCTGCCTGGAGAGATCACCAACTGGACCTTCAGACAAGAAGGACCTTTGCAGTGTCTCCAAAGCAGTGGATCTCTATCCACTGCCCCTCTATCCTGATCCAGGTTAAGCAGGTTCCCTTCAAAACGGAGCAGCAGTCAGTTGGCCTACTGTATGGACAGCCTGGGTTGAGAAGCATCGCAAAGAGACAGAACCAAAAACACTAGATCTACTCAAAGGCGTCTCCCACCCACTCCCAGCTGCTGGCAGCTCACTGTAGGCAAATGGAGGCTTGTGTAGCCCCCATGAGAACATAAACCCACTCTGGTGACCAGGCCACATGACCTGCAGAGCCCGCACACCTCTATATCCCCGCCTACATGCCTGGGCCTTACAAAAAAAAAAAAATAGGCAGGAGGCCAGGGGCTGGGCTTACGTGCCACCCTGTGTGTGTGGCCTTTGACACCAACAGCATCACTGTCATGCCAAGCACCATGAGGAGCCTTCCTGCTCACCCGACAACAATTGTGTGTGGCTCTGGTGGCAGCCACGGGCCTTAGAGGAACAGGGACTTCTCCATGCCAGGTCACAGACTATTCCCAGGGAAATGGGGCGGGGAAGAGGCTGAGGGGTGAGGAGGCAGGTATTTGAGACTGGCTAGGTAATTTTCAGACTGGCTAGGTGATTTGTAGTCCTGAAGAGAGTGTCTGATACCCCCCATAATAAACCAGCAAGCCAACAAATCCCTAATAGGAAGAAAAGCCTAATGAAGACAGGGACTTTTTTGTCTTGTTCTTGTCAGAAGCCCCAGAATCAGAACTGTGCCTGACACAGAGCAGAACCAAACTAAATACTCATTGAATTAATGAATGAATATATTGCAGCTTCCTTTAAAATCACAACTCTGTCTTCTGCAGGTAAATGTGGCACATGGCAGCTGTTGGACGCAGGCGGCCTACCACAAAAGTGTCACTGTGCACACCTAGGACCATGGATTCAGAAAACATCAGCACCTGATTCCCATCTGCCGTCTTCCATTTTAGGGCCCTTAAAAGTTAAGAAGGGAAACTGGCTTCATTTTTCACCTTTGCAGAGAAAATCTATGTAACTTTCATTGCTATATACTCATTCATTCATTTTCATTTTTACCAGTCAACTCTACCCATTTATTGGGATGGGGCCAAAACAAAGTCAATTATCCCAGCATTAAAGGAACCAAAATACTCAGGTCTCTTTATGTTTAATCACACAGCTGCTCCACAGGTCACAAGATTGTGAACAAGTTGGAGGTTCTGACCACCCCACCCCTTTGGTTCTTAGAAACTAGAACTGACCTGGACTCAGAAATGTCAGAATTGAATGACCATTGGCCCTGCTGTTCCTGGCTCCAGGGGACTCATCCACCCAGATCCAAAGCATCCAAGAGGGACTCCAGAAGTGGAGGCCCAGGCCTGAGGCCAGAGCCCCCTGCACCCCCTCTCCCACCATGGCCATCTCTGGGCCTTAGGTTTCCTTCGTTCCCCAGTGGCTGCTTTACGGTGCTTCCAACCTAATCAAACACAGGTAAGTAAGAGTGAGCTGGCCCCCACCAGCACCCTCCAAAGGTCTACGTGGCAAGAGTGCAAAAGTGTCCACACTTGTCCAGGTCCTACACCCTCCCTGAGACAGCAGTCACTGTGCTTGGTGGTCAGCGGTACCAGAGAAGCCCCAGGCCACTCTGCTTGGAGCTTTAGACCCATTCTTCTGGGAGAATTCATTTTAGCAACTAGTTTGAATCTCCAGAAGAAGGGGCTGTTTTTGTTCCATTCTTTCTCTGCTGGATTGGAGACACTCTGCAGTGCAAAGGAAGAGCACGTGAGTCCTGGGAAGCATCCTAACACCTTTCTGAGCCTATTGCCTCACCTGTAAGATAAGGGCATTGATAACATTAATACCTACCTCCTGGGGCTGTTATGGGGATTTGCTTATATTCAAGAGAAAGCTCTCTATATCCACAAAGATGACAAATGTCAGTTGTTAATTGTCATGAGTTAGCTGACCTAGTCTTGGACTCCACACTCATGCAACATGACAGACCCCCTGCCCCATCCACCATGCTGCCACTTGGTTCTTTAGCCATGAAGGTGGAAACAGGCTTCTTTTTGATGTCTGCTTTGAATCCACCTCATCACAACAAGCAAATGGTCGCAAGAGCTCTCTTGGAGCTCCCTGGCCCCTTCCTTGCCCTCCTCAACAGGCTGACAGGCACCAGGGTTCCTTTATAGGAAAAACACGTTCAGCCCTGGAGTTCCACTTACAGAGGGAAGAGCAGGGCCCCATGAGACTTATGTTGTTTATCTCAGAACAGGAGGCAGATAACTCAAAGCATGTGTGTGTGTGCATATGTGTGCGTGCATGTGCATGTGTGGTAGATGGAGGTGGGGAAGGAGGATGGAGTCACAGCTGCTGTCAGGGAAATTAACCTTGGGGAGTGAGCCTAGGGCTGGGGAGGGGACATGAAGGAGGGGAAACAAGTGGCCAAAGACAAGAGGGGAAACCAGTCCTCCCTGGTAACCAAGGCCACTGCCACCCCTCACTTCACATACCCCACTGAGCAAACTACTTTTCTGTTACTTTGAGCTGCAACTCGAGCTACAACATTCCTGCCCATGTGTAAGCACAAATGTGATGCACAAAGACACACACACACAATCAAAAACTCACACACTTGCTGGGAGAACTGGCTCCATGGAAATACCTGGCATTGAAAGGCTTGATGCCTTTATGGTTAGCAGACTCCAGACAAATACAGCTGGTTATGCACATTGCACAAGTTCAGCAGGTGGATCCTGAGGGTTCTGGGCATCTCTCACAGACAAAGCATGAGCTATTCAGAATTTAGAAGATGAAATGGGAGAGAAAAGAGAGGGAAGAGTGGCCGGGTACAGTGGCTGACGTCTGTAATCCCAGTACTTTGGGAAGCCAAGGCCAGCAGATCACTGAAGCCCAGGAGTTCAAGACCAGCCTGGCCAACATGGTGAAACCTCATCTCTATCAAAAATACAAAAATTAGCCAGTATGGTGGCGCATGCCTGTAATCTCAGCTATTCGGGAGGCTGAGGCAGGAGAATTGCTTGAACCCAGGAGGTGGAGGTTATAGGAGCTGAGGTCATGCCACTGCACTCCAGCCTATATGACAGAGCAAGATTCTGTGAAAGAAAGAAAGACAGAAAGAAAGAAAGAAAGAAAGAAAGAAAGAAAGAAAGAAAGAAAGAAAGGAAGGAAAGAAGGAAAGAAAGAAAGAAAAGAAAAAAAGAAAGAAAGAAAGAAAGAAAGAAGAGAAGAGAAGAGAAAGGGAGAGGGAAAGAGGGGGAGAGAGGGAAAGAGGGGGAGAAGGGGAGAGAGGGAGAGAGGAGAGAAGAGGGGAAGAAGGGGAGAGAGGGAGAGAGGGACAGAGGGGGAGAAAGGGGGAGAGGAAGGAAGGAAGGAAGGAAGGGAGGAAGGGAGAGAGGGAGGGAGGGAGGGAGGGGAGAAGAATGATATGGGATAGGAACAGCAATTGAAATGGGGAAGAAAAAAACTGAAGTAGTTTCATCTTTCCCCATCCAGAGCTGAACTGTGGCAGTTCAAGCCCCCCAGGGAAAGGCTCTCTCTCTGCAGGATCTCAGAGAGGTGGACCCACAGCTGCCCCTGAAACTTCCTTTCAATGGAGAATTTATTATGTCACAGGACACAGTGTCCCACTGTCGGCCAACTCTTACTGTGATAAAGAGATTCACCATGACCTTATTTTGAATCAAAATCTATCTCCCTATAAGTTATACCAATTTGTCCACCCTCTGTTCCAACAGCAAACAGCTACATCCCAATCCTGCATCCCATATATCTGCTTGGGTTTGAAGGGCAGCTAACCAAGAAGCCGAGGAACTAAAGAGGAATAAGAGTTGTAGGAAAGAGTTAGTGACTACCCCTGCTCAGAACCGGGTAACAGGATCAAAGTTTCCAAATAGAAAATGACAATACAACAATTTAAAATACAATTTAAAAAAATACAATATAATACCTATTTACATAGCATTTACATTGTATTAGGTATTATAAGCAATCTAGAAATGATTTAAGGAATATGGGAGAATGTGTGTAGGTTATATGCAAATACTATGCCATTTTATATAAGGGACTTGAGTACCCACAGATTTTGGTATCTTCTGGGGTCCTAGAACCAATTCCCAGTGGATACTAAAGGATGGCTGTTATGTATATAACATACTATCATTTATTTAACAAATGGGGATACACACATATTCAGACAAATATATGTGTGTGGTGTGTTTGCATGTTTTTTTTTATGGGGGTATAAGCCAAAAGCTAAAAAAAATTACCTAGAGAGAGAGCAAAAATAAAATAATAGTAGCAAGAAAAAGAGAAGGACGAAGAGGAAATTGCCTATACGAAAAAGAAACAGGGTAAAAGTGAAGATACAGTTAGACTTTCTCATAATATACCATTGGAACAATGCAAATATTTTACACAATTATAAAGTAAAATTAAATTAAAATAAAAAGCATACATCCGTTTCTGACTAAAATGGAGTATAAAGACCAGATTTAGCTCCCACCTAAAACCAAAAGAGAGGAAGAAAAAAATCAACAACAGTTTTGAAGACAATGAACATCAGGCATTGAAGGACAGTGATCCCTGAGACACTGAAAACAAGCAAGATAAGCCCTGTGATTGCCCCAGCTTACAGCCTTAAGAGAGTCTCCAGACTGGAACACAAGGAGGAGGAATACAGGTGGAGACCTGCAGATTCCCCACGTTTGAGTTGAAGAGAAAATGCCAAGAGTCTGAGGAGACCACAGTGACTAGAACCCAAGGAACTGAAGGGTAAACAAAAGAGAGCTGCACAGAGAATGTGGAGATCCAGAGGGTCCCTTTCAAGTATTCAGCTTAGCGTTGATCCATTTATGCCTGTGAGGAAACTAGATAGGACTGGGAAAAGAACTACCCAAAAAGATTAGAGGTAACAGCGCTCGGTGTGCACAAGGGGGCGGAAATAGTCTGTTTCCACCAGCCAATATGGAAAACTGTATGATTCCCGGGGTACTGGGTAGAGTACAGTAGAAAGATCTTGCCTCACTAATAGGGAATACTTAGCCCTAGACTAAGTACTGCTCTGGCTCCACCTAACAAATCTTAAAAGCAAGACAAGAAAACATCAAACTGTTTTCAAATAACTTAAATATGTCCCAAAACAATGTTCAAGAACATTTATAGGAATAAAATATATCTACAGCATTCAGCAAGGTAAAATTCACAATGTGAGGCACCCAACCCAAAATTACAAGGCATGTAAAGAAGCTGGAAAATATGACTTATAATAAGGAGAAAAATCAATCAATTGAAACCAACCCAGAACTGAAACTGATATTAGAATTAGTAGCAAGAACATTAAAACATTATTTGTATGCTCTGTGTTCAAGTTTAGTAAAAATTTGGGAGATACATATGTATTTTTAAGACTCAAATTTAACTTCTAGAAATGAAAACTATAATGTGCAAGATGAAAATCATATCAGAGGGAGTTAATGTCAGATTAGATATTGCAGAAGAAAAGACAGATAAACTTGAAAACACAGCAATAGAAACTATTCCAAAATGAAACCCACAGGAAAAAACAGAAAAGAAAAAAAAATAATGGCATAAATGAGCTGTGGGGCAACTTCAAACAGCCTAATATATGTGTAATTGAAGAAAGGGAAGAAAAAATATTTGTAGAAATAATGGCTGGAGGCTGGGTGCAGCGGCTCATGCCTTTAATCCCAACACTTTGGGAGGCCAAGGTGGAAGAATGCCATAAGCCTGGGAGTTTGAGAGCAGCCTGGGCAACATAGTAAGATCCTGTCTCCACAAAAGAGAGAGAGAGAGAGAGAGATGAAAGAGAGACAGAGAGAGACAGAGAAAGGGAGGAAGGGAGAGAGGGAAGAAAGGGAAGGAAGGAAGGAAGAAAGAAAGAATTTAAAAAGAAATAAGGGCTGGAAATTTCTGAAATTTGATGAAAACTATAAACCCATAGGTCTAAGCAGCTCAATAAAGCTAGGTACAATAAACATTAAGAAAACTACAGCAAAGTATGTCATAATCAAAACTGCTCAAAAATAGTGATAAAGAGAAAATATTAAAAGCAACCAGAGAAAGGAAACATGTTAACATATACAGGAACATTCTTATCTTTGCAATGCAAGCAAGAAAAGAGTGGTTCAACATCCCTACAATACTGAAAGGGAAAAAAAAACTTGTCAAACTAGAATTCTATACCCAGCTAAAATATCTTTCAAGAACTAAGGCAAACTAAAGATAGTTTCAGATATACAAAAGCTGAAATAATTCATCATCAACAAACCCACACTCTAAGAAATGTTAAAAAGAAGTACTTTAGGCAGAAGGAAAGTAATACCAGACCTAAATTTGGATCTACACAAAGGAATGAACAGCATCAGAAATGGTCTAGTACATGAATAATTATACGAGATGTTTTTCTTATTATTTTAAACTCATTAAAAGATGATCAACTATTTTTAAAAATACAATGATGGCCGGGCGCGGTGGCTCATACCTGTAATCCCAACAATTTGGGAGGCCAAGGCAGGCACATCACCTGAGGTCGGGAGTTCGAGAACCGCCTGACCGACATGGAGAAACCCCATCTCGACTAAAAATACAAAAATTAGCCAGGCATGGTGGCGCATGCCTGTAATCCATCAACACATCTACTCTGACTCTGAACTCCTCCTGCCTTCCTTTTATAAGAACCCTTGTGATTACATTAGGCCCACCTGGATAATCCAAGATTATCGCACCATCTCAAAATCCTTAATCCTGTCTTCGAAGTCCCTTTTGCCATGTAAGGTAACATACGCACAGATTTCAGTAATTAAAATGTGGATGTCTGAGGTGAGGAGGGGCCTTATTCTATTAATCACAGTACTATTGTAGACTCCTTATACTATTCATGAAATAGAATAATATAATTTGAAAGTTAACTATAATTAAAGATGTACACTATAAACACTAAGCAATCACTAAAATAACAACAAAACAAGAGTTATAGTTAATAAACCAACAAAAAAGAGAGAAAACATAATCACATTAAATGTAAATTGCCTAAATACCCCTACTTAAAAAAGATTGTCAGATTACATGTAAAAAGCATAACACAACTATATGCTGCCTATTAAAAAACTACTTTTAATATAAAGATGCAAATAGGCAAGAAGTAAAAGAATGGAAAAAGATATTTCATGTTAATATTAATCAAAAGAGAGCTGGAGTGGCTATATTGGAATTAGACAAAGGAGATTTCAGATAAAATAATATTAATAGAGATTAAGAGGATTATTTTATAATGATAAAGGAATCAATTTATTGAGGATATAACAATACTAAATGTTTATACACCTAATAACAAAGCTTCAATATACATGAAACAAAAAGTAATAGAATTGTAAGGAGAAATAAGCAAACCCACAATTATAGTCATAAGTTTCAATACCCTACCTCTCAATGATTCATAGAATAAATAGAAAATAAGGATGTAGAAGATTTAAAAAACATTATCAACCAATTTGACCTAATTGATATTTATAGAACATTCCAAACAACAACAGCAAAACACAATTCTTTTCCTGAGCAAACAGAATATTTACCAAGGTAGACCACATTTGGTGCCATAAAACAAGTTGCAATAAATTTAAAAGAATTTGAACCATAAAAATTATTCTCTGACCATTTGGAATTAACATGGAAATAAATAATGGGCACAACTTTGGAAACGTCCCAAGTGTTTGGAAACTAAACAATACAGTTCTAAATAATCCATGAGTAAAAGAAGAAACCAAACAGAAAAATATTTTGAACTGAATGAAACTAAAAACCCTATATCAAATTTTTTAAATGAGGCTTACATAGTATTTATGGGGAAATTATATCAGAAAATGATGTAGTAGAAAAGAAATATCTTAAATCAATGACCTGTTTACACCTTAAGAAATAGATAAACCTACTATGTACCATAAAAATTAAAAAATTAAAAGAAATAAGAAACAGAAGAGCAAATTAAATCCAAAGTAAATAGAAGGAAATATAAAGATCAGAGCAGAAAAAACAATTCTACCAAAAGCTATTTATTTGAAAAGATCAATAAAATTGATAAACCTCTAGTCAGAATGATGAGGTAAAAAATAACATTCAAATTAACAATATAATGAGTAAAATAATATGCCACCACAGATTCTACATATATTAAAAGAGTAATGCAGCAATATTATGAACAACTTTGTGCAACCAATTAGGAGAATGTAGATAAAAGAAACAAAATCACATACTAACAAAGCTTACTCAAGATGAAATAGATAACCTAAATAGCCCTATATCTATAAAATAAATTAAATTTATAATTAAAAACATTACCTCAAGGAAACTGCCAGATCCAAATGGATTCACTGGTAAATGTTATAAAATATTTATGGAAGAAATAATACCAATTCTATATAAAGTTTCAGAAAAGTAAAAATGAAGAAATACTTCCCAACTCATTATATGAGACCAGCATCACCCTGACACCCAAACCAGACAGACATTACAAGAAAACTATAGACTAATATCTCTCATAAACATAGATGCAAAAACTCTAATAAAACTTGAGCAACATGAATCTAACAATACATTAAAAAGATAAAATAGCATAACAAAGTGGGGTTTATCCTAGGAATGTAATGTTGGTTTAACATTCAGAAATCAATCAATGTAACTCATTATGTTAAATGTAAACTTAAGATATTAAATTTAATCAACCATTCCTACATAATGAAGCTTCCATGAACAAAAGAAAAACCACATGATCATCTCAATAGACACAGAAAATCAGATGACAAAATCAAATATCCATTTGTGATTTAAAAAAAAAAACTCTCAAACTAGAAATAGAAGGGAGCATCCTCAATCTGATAAAGAATATCTACAAAAAATTCTACAGCTAATGTCATACTTAATAACAAAAAAATAAATAAATGCTTTCTCTTTAAGATCAGGAACAACATAAGGGTGTCCAGTCTCACCACTTTTACCTAATATTATGTTGGAGAGTCTAGCCAGTGCAAGAGACAAATAAAATAAATAAAAGTTATTCATATTAAAAGAAAGAAGTAAGTTTTCTTTATTTACTATTCAGGTTATCTACTAGCAAACTAACAGATAATCAACTATATAGAAAATGCTACAGAATCTATAGAAAGCTATTAGAACTAATGAGTTTAGCAAGGTTGCAGGATATAGGAAGAATATACTAAATTAATTGTTTTTCTATATATTAGCAAACATCAGAAATTAAAATGTATAAAAATTTATTTATAATAGTATCAAAAAGTATTAAGTGCTTAGAGACAAATCTGACAAAAATGTTAAAGATCTATACACTAAAAATTAAAAATCATTGATGAGAAAAATTAAAGAAGATATTAATAAATTGAAAGATATGCCATATTCATGGGTTGCAAGACTCAATACTGAAAATTGTCAATTTTCCCCAAATGGATCTATAGATGCAAGACAATCCCAACCAAACTCCTAGCCAGTTTTTTGTAGAAATTGACAGACTGATTATAAAATCCATATAGAAGTGCAAAAGACCTAGAATAATCAAAATAACTAAGAAAATCAAGAACAAATTTAGAGGGCTAACACCACCTGATTTCAAACATTATAAAACTATAATAATCAAGACAGTGTGGTAAGAGTATAAAGATAGACAAATAGGTCAATAAAACAGAACTGAGAGTCCAGAAATAAACACACATATATGTGGACATCTAATTTTTGACAAGCCAATTAAGTGGAGAAAGACGAGTCTTTTCAGCAAACTATGTTGAAACAATTGAATATCCATCTGCAAGAAAATAAACTAATGCATACTTTGTACCATATACAAAATTAACTCAAAATGAATCATAGACCTAAATGTGAAACCTAAAATTATAAAATTTTAGGAAAAAAAAATAAGAGAAACCCTGACCTTGCATTAGGTAGTAATTTCTCAGACATAACATCAAAAGCACAATTCATGAAAGAATAAATTGATAAACTGGATTTCACCAAAATTGAAAACTTCTGCTCTTTGAATGAGACTGCTAAGTTAATGAAAATACAAACCACAGATTGTAAAAAAAAATTTGCAAAGCATAGGTCTGATAAACTTATTGTATCTAGAATATATAAAGAACAATCAAAATTCAATAATAAGCAAATAGCTCAATTTTAAAATGGACAAAAGATTTGAACTTTACCAAAGAACATATATGGATGGTGTAATATTGTGATATAATGAGAAATGTATATTTTGGTCTTAATCCCCACTTCCTGGCACACAGTTCCTAAAACCCCTGGCATCTCCAAGTGATGTGTCTTTTTATATGCTAATGAGATGACCCTGGCTGGGACCTGCTGGATAGCCTCTGGATAAGGGATTATAAACAGCGGAGCCAACCACAAGATTAGCAGGCTGTACCTTTTAGCCCCAACTCTAACTTCCCACCTCTGACCTCCAGGAAGAAAAGAGGCACTAGTAGTTGAGCTAGTCACTAATGGCCAATGATTTAATCAACCATTCCTACATAATGAAGCTTCCATGAAAATCCAAATGGACTAGATTCAGAGATCTTTGGGTTGATGAACATGTGGGGGTGCTGGGAGGGTGGCTCACCTGGAGAAGGCATGGAAGCTTCATGTCTCTTTTCCCCTTACCTTGCCCCGTGTACCTCTTCCATTTGGCTGTTTCAGATACATGTCCTTCGTAATAAACTGGCATTCTAGTATGCAAACTATTTTCCTGAGTTGTTTTTTTTTTTTTTTTTTTTTTTTTTTTTTGAGGCGGAATGTCGCCCAGGCTGGAGTGCAGTGGCACGAACTCGGCTCACTGCAAGCTCCGCCTCCCGGGTTCACGCCATTCTCCTGCCTCAGCCTCCTGAGTAGCTGGGACTACAGGCGCCCACCACGCCCAGCTTATTTTTTTTGTTGTATTTTTTAGTAGAGATGGGGTTTCACCGTGTTAGCCAGGATGGTCTCGATCTTCTGACCTCATGATCCACCCGCCTCAGCCTCCCAAAGTGCTGGGATTACAGGCGTGAGCCACCGCGCCCGGCCTGTTTTCCTGAGTTCCAGCAAATGATCAAACATGAGGGGCAGTCATGGAAACCTCCATTTATAGCCCATAGGTCAGAAGCACAGCTGACAACCTGGACTTGAAATTGGCATATGAAGTTGAGGCAGTGCTGTGGGCTGAGCCCTTAGTCTGTGGAATCTGACGATATCTCACAGTAGATAGTGTCAAAGTTGAGTTAAACTGTGGAACACCCAGTTGGTGTCCGCAGGGAATTGGAGAATTGCTTGGTGTAGGGGAAAAGACATCCACACATCTGCTCACAGAAATATTGAGTAAAAGTATAGAGAATAAAACAGTTTATTTTCCCTCACAGATGGCAAATAAGCACATGTGAAGATGCTCAAAATCATTATTAACTAGGGGAATGCAAGTTGAAACTGCAATGAAATACTACTATATATCTATTAGAATGGCTAAAAAAATTTTCAAACTGACCACACCAAGTGTTGGCAAGGATACAAAGGAAGTGGAACTCTCATATATTGCTGGAGTCAATGTAAAATGGTACAACCACTTTGGAAAAGAGCTTGGCAGTTTCTTTAATAGTGAAACATCTATCTCTCTTATGATCTAGTTGTTCTACTCCTAGGTAGTTAACCTCTCAAGGAGAAAGGAAAGCATATGTCCATTCAAAAACTTGTACACAAATGTTCATAGTGGCTTGATTTATAGTAGTCAAAGACTGCAAACAAATCCAAATGTCCATCAACAGGTGAATGGATAAATTAACTGTGATACAGCCATGCAATGGACTACTACTCAGCATAAAAAGGAATTATTGATATAGTATTAATTAGTAATTATGCTAAGTGAAAGAAGCCAGACATGCCCTTGTCCCTAAAAAAGGGAGTACACAGGCCGGGTGCGGTGGCTCACGCCTGTAATCCCAGAACTTTGGGAGGCCGAGGCGGGTGGATCACGAGGTCAGGAGATCGAGACCATCCTGGCTAACACGGTGAAACCCCATCTCTACTAAAAATACAAAAATAATTAGCCGGGGAGGCTGAGGCAGGAGAATGGCGTGAACCCAGGAGGCGGAGCTTGCAGTGAGCAGAGATTGCGCCACTGCACTCCAGCCTGGGCAACAAGGCGAGACTCCATCTCAAAAAAAAACAAAAGGGAGTATACAGTGTGTGTTTCTGGTATAGAAAGCAAATCAATGGCTTCTCTGGGGAGGGAGTAAAGAAGGGTAGAGGCATGGAGAAGCGCAGGAAGGATAGATTTCTAAACACATAGGAAACCTTTGCGAGTCATGGATATGTTCATTATCTTGATTGTGGTAATGGTTCCACAGGTGAATATATGTCAAAACTTATCAAGCTGGACACATTAAGTATGTGCAATTTATTGTATGTAATTATACTTCAATAAAGCTGTTAAACTTTTTTAATAACAAGGCAATCTCAGGGACTTCTGCTTCTGGAAAGATGAAATAGATACACTTTTTTATATTCCTCTCACTAAGCACAACTAAATATCCTGGACATTATTCATAGAACAGACATAAGAAATAACTGAAAGATGAAGGGAACCAGTCAGACCAGCTAGGGACTTTGGGACCTGAGAAACAACAGGGTGGGTGGTGAGCTCCCTGGGTATTATTTTATCTATCTACCTATCTATCTAGCTATCTAACTATCTAGCTAGCTAGCTATTTATTGAGACAAAGTATCACTCTGTAGCCTGGGCTGGAGTGCAATGGCGCAATCCTGGCTCACTGCAGCCTCAAACTCCTGTGCTTGAGCAATCCTCCCACCTCAGCCTCCCAAGTAGCTGGGACTACAGGCACGCACCAACACACCTGGATAATTTTTTAAATTTTTATAGAGACAAGGTCTCACTATGTTGCTTAGGCTAGTTTCGAACTCCTGGGCTCAAGCAATCCTCCTCCTTTGGCCTCCCAAAGTGCTGGGATTACAGGCATGAGCCTGTGTCCAGCCCGATCTTGGGTCTCCTTTATGCCTCATATATCCTGGACTGGATTCTGGAAAAGCTGATAACCCAGAAACACCAACAAATGAAGACCAAAAAAGACCTCAAGAAAATCCTGCTCTCTCTAGCCAGAGAACCAGGAAAGGACCAGCCTAGCAAGACAAGCAGGCATCCCAATAGCTTTGCTGGGTTGGTGTCAGAGAAGGCCAAGGGAAGAGCTGGTGCCTTGTGGTATCAGTAGAGGCCCTCCTCCTCCCAAGTAGGATAATACCAGTAGAGGCCTAGTGGGGAGCCTGAACTCCCACCTCCACTCAGCAACAACAAGGTGTTCTTCCCCTGTTAAAGAGGATGTCAACAGAAGCCAAGTAGAGAAGATGGATTTCCACATCCATCTGACAGTAATAAGGGGAGCCTCGCCTCCCCTACTAGCATAGCTTGAAAGGAGACCTGCTAATATAGAAGATTTAAATAATATCTAGCGTCTCATAACATAACAGCCAAAATGTCCAAGATTCAGTCAAAGCCACTCATCTTATGAAGAACCAGGAAAATCTCAAATGAGGAAAGACACAGACACCAACAAGAAAATAACAAAAATGTTAGAATTATCTGACAAGGATCTTAAAGCAGCCATCATTAAAAGTGTTTCAACGAGCAATTATGAACACATAAAACACATTCAGCAAAGAAATAGAAAATATGAAGAACCAAATAGAAATTTGAAAACTGAAAAAAATTGTAACAAAAAATAAAAAAGCTCTCAATGGATTGGCTTAACAGCAGAAGGCAGAGGACAGAATAAAGAAGCAATGAACTTGAAGAGAGAACTATAGAAATCACCCAAGCTGAGCAACAGAGAGAAGAATTTTAAAAATAAATGAACACAGCCTCAGGGACTTATGGGACTATAACAAAAGATCTAACATTTGTGTTGTTGAAGTCCGAGAAGGAGAGGGGAAAGAGGGTTGAACTGAAGAAGTATTCAAAGAAATAATGGCTGAAAAATTCCCAAATTTGGCAAAAAAAAAAAAAAAAAAACCCCATAAACCCACAGGTTGAAGAAGCTGAGTAAACTCAAACAGAATAAACCCAAAAAATCTATGGCAAAACACATCAAAATCACGTTTCTGAAACTAAAAACAAAGAAAAAACTTGAAAACAATGAGAGAGAAATGACACCTTACTTATAAGGGAAAAAAGCATTTAAATGACAGCAGATTTCTCATCACTAACCATCAGAAAGAAGTGGCAAAACCTTTTTCAACTGCTAAAATAAAAGGACTATCAACTCAGAATTTTATATCCAGCAAAAATATCCTCCAGGAATGATGGCAAAATCAAGACATTCTCCACTGAAGGAAAACTAAGAAGTTGTTACCATCAGATTTACTCTAAAAGAATGGCTAAAGAAAGTACTACATCAGAAAGTAAATGCTAAAAGAAGGAATCTTGGAACTTCAGTAAGTAAGAAAAACAACGAAGGAGTAAAAATATGAGTAAATACAATAAACGCTTCTCTTACGTTTTCTAAATTATGTTTGATGGTTGAAGTAAAAATTATAACACTGGTATGGTTTTCAATGTATGTAAAGGAAATGCTTAAGACAACTATATTATAAAGGGAGGAGGGTAAAAGGATTTAAATAATGAGTGTTGGGTGGTAATAGAATAGTTTTGTATCTTGATTGTAGAAGTGGTTACACAAATCTAGACATGTGATAAAATGGCATAAAGCTACATATACACATTTTACCAATGTCAGTTTTTTGGTTTTGATATTGTAAGATGTATTAATCTTGGAGGAAATTGGATGAAGAAGATAGGGGATCTCTATTATATTTGCAACTGCAAATTGCAAATACAGTCACAATTGCAATTATTAATTATTTCAAGATAAAAGTTGATTTAATAAAGAAGAAATTATATGAATCCCCTCCCCACTCAAAAAGCAAACCCTGATAAGTGAAAGCAAAATGAAACAAATAAATCCAACTGTGTATTGAGTTAGTGGCACAATCACACAGAGGAACTATCTCAGTGACCTTAAAGGAGAGTAATTTGGCTGCACATGTTTAATGGAATATACCCTAAGGACAAAAAGACTTGCAAAAAAAAGAAAATATCTTAAACCTTTTTCAGTAATCTTATTGTTAATAGTCATATTGTTTGTTCTGATACTGTGTGTGAGTGTCTGTGTGTGTGTGTGTGTGTGTGTGTGTGTGTGTGTGTGTAAAATAAAGCAAATAAGTAATTACATCAATATCATTTCTAGGATTTTTTGGTGTAGGAGAAAGGAGATACAGAATTAAGATACTTAAGTAAAAACTGTTTAAATCTAAATTGAATGGGATGTATCAACATAATTTCATAATGTATTTTCTCTTAAAAAGAAAAAGAAAAAAACAAATGAATACTATTTCTTAGTTCTAGTCACTGATAAGGCCTAGAAACAATGACCAAGCCAGGAGCAATGAACAGCACTGCGGTCTCTAAGTAACTTTTCCTACAAACAGGAGCCAGGATTTCTTCAAGAAATAGCTGATTTCAGTCCTGGAGAGGAGGAAGTGTACAGGATGAGCTTGAAATATTTCATCCTAATATTAGGATGGCAAGAAGGCCATCAGAAACTACTGGGGTTGTTTCAAAACACCAGCACTGGGCCGGGCACGGTGGCTTACGCCTGTAATCCCAGAACTTTGGGAGGCCGAGGCAGGCGGATCATGAGGTCAAGAGATCAAGACAATCCTGGCCAACATGGTGAAACCCCATCTCTGCTAAAAATACAAAAATTAGCTGGGTGTGGTGGCATGTGCCTGTAGTCCCAGCTACTCGGGAGGCTGAGGCAGGAGAATCGCTTGAACCCGGGAGGCAGAGGTTGCAGTGAGCCGAGATCATGCCACTGCACTCCAGCCTGGCTACTGAGTGAGACTCCATCTCAAAAAAAAAAAAAAAAAAAAACACATCAGCACTGGCCAGAATCCTGAATGGCCAGAGATGAGGCAAGATAAGCCTCATAAGAATAATAGCTACACTGGATTAAAATACATCAAATATGTTTAAATCTGTGAGTTCCTGGTGGTATTCAAAAAAATAATTATTATTATATTGATCGTCTTTGGAGAATGCTAGGGAACCAACTCATTATTTTGAAAACTGGTAAATAGAGGGGAAAAAAGTCATTTATCCTGCCTTTCATATGTGAACTGTATCTCACAATAACTAAAATTTTAATGAGGGAATGTTTTTCTTTATAGAAGTTGTAGAGCTAACAAATGAAGATATAATGATAGTCCTGGATTGAATATTAACTTTTTGCAACCCTTAATGGGATAAAGAATCTAGGCAATTATCATGAAGGGCTGCTAACATCAGTAAAAGAGGTAACCAGACTGTATGAGCCTCTTGATGAAAGTACACACTACCACTCAGGAGTTGTTCTTACCAAAAAAAAATGGAACCTGAATAAATCTCTAGACCTAACTACCAATTCACAGTAATAACACCATGGGAACGCAACCAAATCCTTCTGGGAAACCCTACAGCGTAAGCAACCCAGTGTCTTCAACAAGTAACATGCAAGGAGGAAAGAGAGAGAGGCAGAGACAGAGAGAAACCCAGAGATGTTAAAAGACACATTAACCAGTTGCAATGTAGGGTTCCCATTTGGATCCTGATTTAAACTACAGGGGGAAAAATGAATGTTGGCCAAATATTTGATGATATTAAAGTCTTATTGCTAATTATTTGAGCTCTGATAGTGATTGTGAGTGTGTTTGTTTGTTTAAGTTCTTTACCATTTAGAGATACATAACAAAATATTTACAGATGAAATCACGTGCTTTTGTGGATTTGCTTCAAAATAAAATGAGGTCAGGGAGAAAAGTAAGGAGTGCGTATAGATGAAACACGATTGACCATGAGTTGAACATTGTTGAAGCAGGGCTACATGGGGATGTGTTTTACTATTGTCTTCAGTTTTATATGAAGGTGAAATTTTTCCAAATGAAACATTTTTAAAAACATATCCAGGCAGAGCCAGAAAAATCACATTCCTGTAGCTGTCTCCCTAATAAAAAGGTCTTTATTCTGTTCTTTGCAGCCTAGAAGACTAGTGTCACTGTAGCTGTAGTAATAACAGTAATATCAATAATAATAGGCCAGGTGCAGTGGCTCACGCCTGTAATCCCAGCACTATGGGAGGCCCAGGCAGGCAGATCATGAGATCAGGAGTTCGAGACAGCCTGACCAACATGGTGAAACCCCGTCTCTACTAAAAATACAAAAACTAGCTGGGTGTGGTGGCGCACGCCTGTAATCCCAGCGACTCAGGAGGCTGAAGCATGAGAATCACTTGAACCCGGGAGGCGGTGAGTCGAGATCGCACCACTGCACTCCAGCCTGGGCAACACAGCAAGAGTCCATCTCAAAAAAAAAAAAATAACAATAATAATAATAATACCCAGCATTTTGGAAGCACATACTTGCTATGTGCTAAACTCATTTAAGAGTTTTTATAAATTTTCTCATTTAATTCAGACGAAATCTTATGTGGTAAGTACTATTATTATTCACATTTTACAGATGAGGAACCTGAGGGACAGAAGTTTGGTGACAAAGGTAAGCCTCACACCCAGATCTAATGGCAGATTTCCGGCTTGTAACCAACACCCAAAGGTAAAAGATGAAGATTGCTGTCATGTCCTCAGTCTTGCCTTCTTTGGGATAAACACCTTTAGCTCTTTCACTCCCCACCCCACCCCACCCCTGCCACATGGCTTCAATGCCCCACACCATCCTTGTCACATTCCTTGAAACACCTGCCAGGAGCCATAAAAGTAGCTGAGCTTCTTTAAGGTATCTCAGAGGCCCATGTGCAGCTTGCCCCACCCCGATCCTACCCAGGCTGCCTGGTTTCCCAGACAAGCTGCGGTCCTCCTCCCTCCAGGCTGGGAGCCTGCACATGCGCATGTCCCAGGAGTGGCGCAGCTCACCTGGGCCTCGGTGCCTCTTCTCCATCCAGATGTAGCAGTTGTTCTGGGCCACCCCAGTCTGTGAGTCCAGGAAGGGAAGACGCACGCTGCGCTCTGCACACAGCCGTGAGTTGTAACTCCGGCAGTGCTCAATGGCTTCCTTGTAGAACTGGTCCCCGAGCCTGCCAGAGTCAGAGAGTGAAGGGGTGAGGCCAGGGAAGACTGAAACACACCCAGAGGGAAACACACCCAGAGGGAAACACACCTCCCTGGAAAGACTGAAGACCTCCCAGTTATGAAGACCAAGGCAATGAGCACCAAGAGCCTTGCCAATGAGCAGAATGCAACTCAATGTCAGGTCTTGACTAGATTTTATTTTCTATCCCAAATCCACCAGGCAACTTAGAAACTCCTTTAACAAAGAGCATGGGCTTCCAAGGATGAATCACCAGTAAGAGAGAGCTGTCCATGTTCTAGGAAGCATGAGGTCCCACTCCAGAAGGGAAGTAGCTCTGGAACAACCTTCTGCATGGAATCTAGAGGACATCACACTTCTAGAACCTCCTCACTCATATTAGCTACATTTTATTCTCAGAGGTCACCAGCAAAGGCACTCTAGGTGAACCCAAATCACCAGCAAAGATACTCAGTTTTCCATTACAACAGAAGAGAAACACTCCATATAAACAAAAACTAGGACAGAAAAAACATTCTATAAAAGTAGGGAAATTGCAGGAAGAAGGGGGTGTAGAGGAACAGGCACCAATCTTTTAAAACCATATTACTTAAAGAAAAATAACTTTCCGATAGAAAACAAACAGAATTCAACAATTTTAAATTCAAAATAATTCAACTCATGGAGTTTAAAAAACAAATAGAAAGACCTTTCTGGTTTGCTAGACTGAGAATCTGATTAAGCACAGTATATTTTACGTTCCTGACTCTTTGGTATTTTTGGACACGTGGTGATGCTACTAATTTTAAGGTAGTGTCCTTTTCAAAGACCAAAAATGGAGCATTGATATAATTGATCAAATGCAAAGCACTAAAATAATCAATGAGATCAAATACCTACCAAATAAAACATAGGCACAGGTTAATAAATGCCTCAAAGAAATACAAATGTAATAACATAACTTATGCCAGGTAAATTCAAGCCTCTTACTGGGGTCGGGGGGCAGTGGACGCAAAGGAGTGGAGTGTGGGAAGAAGAAGTAGGAAGGGAAGGAGCCACAGAGTTCACAGGGGCAAAAGGGAGAATCAAGTGTTTATTCTGAAGCAACATTATGATATCTTTTTGTTTTGGTTCTATGTAGATTTCAGAAAGCCAAAATGAGAGGGGAAGTCTCTAAAAATATCATTTCTTAACCAAAGTATTTAGAGGAATAAAAAAAGCAAAATTGGGGTGTTGGGTTTTTTGGGTTTTTTTTTTTTTTTTTGAGATGGAGTCTCACTCCGTCGCCCAGGCTGGAGTGCAACGGTGCGATCTCAGCTCACTGCAACCTCCACCTCCTGGGTTCAAACGATTCTCCTGCCTCAGCCTCCTGAGTAGCTGGGATTATAGGTACCTGCCACCATGCCCGGCTAATTTTTTATATTTTTAGTAGAGACAGAGTTTCACTATATTGGTCAGGCTGGTCTCAAACTCCTGACCTCAGGCGATCCACCCGCCTCAGCCTCCCAAAGTGCTGGGATTACAGGCGTGAGCCACCATGCCTGGCCTCAATTTCTTAATTGTGGTAAAATACACATAACATAAAATTTCCCATCTTAAGTGTACAGTTTAAGTGTACAGTTCAGTGGCATTAAGCACATGCATACTGTTGTACGACCACCACTACTATCCATTCCCAGAACTCTTTTCATCTTGCAAAACTGAAACACTATACCCATTAAACAATAACTCCCCGTTCCGCCTCTGCCCCCATCTCCAGCAACTACCAATCTGCTTTCTATCTCTATGATTCTGACTACTCCAAGTACTTCATAAAAGTGGAGTCATACAGTATTTGTCTTTTTGTGACTGGCTTATTTGACTTAGCATAATATCCTCAGGGTTAACCTATATTATAGCATATGTCAGAATTTCCTTCCTTTTTAAGTCAGAATAATATTTTAAGTCAGAATAATATTTTTTAAGTCAGAATAATATTCCATTGTATGCATATACCACATTTTGCTTATCCATTCATCTGTCAGTGGATATCTGGGTTGCTTCCACATTTTAGCTATTCTGAATAATGCTGCTATGAACATGAGTATACAAATATCTTTTCAAAACCCTGCTTTCAGGCTGGGCGCAGTGGCTCATGCCTGTAATCCCAGCACTTTGGGAGGCTGAGGTGGGTGGATCGCCTGAGGTCAGGAGTTCGAGACCAGCCTGGCCAACATGGTGACACCCCGTCTCTACTAAAAATACAAAAATTAGCTGGGCCTGGTGGCAGACGCCTGTAATCCCAGCTACTCAAGAGTCGCTTGAACTCAGAAGGTTGTGGTGAGTTGGGATTGTGCCACTGCACTCCAGCCTGGGCGACAGGGTGAGACTCTGTCTAAAAAAAAAAAAAAAAAAAAAAAAAAACCTGCTTTCAGTTCTTTTAGGTATATACTCAGGAGTAGAATTGCTGAGTCATATGGTAGCTCTAGTTTTCATTTTTTGAGGAACCACCATACTGTTTTTCATGGCAGCTGTACCATTTTCCATTTCTACCAACAGTGTACAAGGGTTCCAACTACTCCACATTCTCATCACCACTTGTTAGAAAGCAAAGTTTTAAATGCACTTTTCTATACTCTTTTTAAAAAGTCAACGGGTCAGGTTCTAACAAAGAGCTTAAAGCAAATATCTTACTGTGGGAAAACACAACCCTGGAAGCTTCTGAGGCATCATTTGGAAATTACTTGTTGACAAGCATCCAAAAAAAAACAAACAACAAAACAAAAACCCTTTGCTCCTTTTTCACCTCTGAACATCTTCACATTCATAAGGGAGGCATAATACGCTCAGAAAGTGTCCTGGCAGTTGCAAAACCAAACTGTAATCAAATTGTAATAGTCACGCAGCTGGAAATGAATTGGGGAGGGGAGATGAAAGCCCATTACAATGCTATAAAACTGAATGGCACATAAGCTGATGTAATCAAAGCTGGTAACAAGGATCATGAGATTGATCAAAAATAAAGAACCACTTTTTACAAAGTGTTTGTGTCACACCAGCTTAAATGCTTCCTTCTGCTATGGCGATGTAGCTCAGTGGAACAGAACTTTCACAGGCAGCTTGGCCCAGACAAGATGACCCAGGCTGTTCAGGGTATCCTGGATGCTCCAGCCCCCACCCATGAAACAGCAAGCAGCCATACCACATCGATAGAGAACTGACAAGAACATTTGACAGAGAGGTGTCCAACGTGAGAGCAGCAATCTGTTTTCCCAGGACCTTCTGACAGACTGCCAAAAAAAAAAGATGTTAATTATCCCAACCTCAGAAATTCTGCTGAAAAGAGAACCCATAAAATCAGGCCCCCCAAAAAAACAAAATGAAAAATTGTATAGCAAAACTCATCTACTGGAGATGATCACTTTCAAAATAAATTTCTGGAAACCAATACAAAAGAAATCTACACAGTAGGATTCCAAATTGGACTTGTCCTAATATGCTAGTAACTCACTTCCAACAGCGTCAATCCAGACAAGAGGAACAAGAAACTGAACTTGCTAAAAATGCAAAGTGAGGTTGGCCAACACTGGTGCTCCACACCAACTGGATCGAGAATGTCAAACAAAGTGGCACACTGGGCGAAAATTAATTTCATCTTAAATACTTTCTACTTTCATAACATGCAATGTTATTAGTTACAAGCATGCTGGGGGAAAATGTATATTTCTAAATATAATCTTTGTGTGAATGATACCTGTCTTATGTAAACAGAAAAGACTTTCTGTGGACTGGAACAACTGTATTAAAGATCGAAGCTGCAAAAACATGACATTCAACAGCCCCTCTACCATCATCTCCAGGGAAGTCCTTTTAAACAGACCAGGTGTTGGCAGAGATTCGGAACCAAAATTTAAAGCCTTTTTCAAGATATAAGAGGAGAAAAGAGATTTCATCCTCCCTGATAAATTCAAGAAGCACTTCTCCAAAAGTTAATTAGCCAAAATCGTCACAGGGCTTGCTATGCTCTCTAGAAGAAAATCAATGACTAGTTCTCCCTAACCCGTAGAAAGCAATTTAAACAGCAGAGGACAAATGTCCTTTCCAACATGGTATTTCTGCCAAAAAAAAAAAAAAAAATCCCACAATGATGGGATCCCAGGAGTGACATTTACATTAAAGTTGAAGGCGTCAGATGGAGCAGGGAAAGGCTGGCAGCAAATGACTCATCTGTGGAGTGGTGACCAGTGTACCCTGGGTTGGATCACACATGGGACAGTCCCAGCCATCACCTGCATGCACCAAACTGAGGGGGCTGGATCCCCAAGGGATGATTGATGTCTTAGGCTAGAGGAAGCTGGCACAAGGCAGGGTAGAATGATGTTCTTATCAACAACTGACTTCAGGCTACTCAAGGCTGCAATCAGAAATAGGAAAGGCAAGGGAAACAAATTGCTGGGCTCCCCAGGCTCCCCAGACAGCATTCTGGTTGCAGCAGTGCTGGCTGCCTAGTTCTAGGGGGCTTTGTGAGTGATGGAGGTACTTCTGTGATCCCATCTGAATTGAGAAGCCAGCCCAGCTCTGAGAGCTGAGTGTTTCTACATGAGATTTCCAGCAACCCTCCTTGAGCCTATCTGTGGAGATGGACTCCAGGGGGCCAAAGAAGACTCAGAATGGGAAAGATGAGACTTCTCCAAAGTGACTGCCAACCAGGCTCCAAATGTGATTTTTCAGAGCCCATCAATCACAACCCCTCTAAGACCCTCTGCTCCTCTTCCTCCAACCTCCTGCTCTCAAGACCACACCTGCTTGCTCCGATTTCTCAGATCACTCTCAGGTCCAGCCAGACACCTGGGCTCCTCCCTTTCACTGTCTCTCTGGTTCTGTGCTCTGACCTGAGGACAGGTGTCCTGCCATACCAGAAATGTGAGTCCAATAGCAAGTTTCTCATCTTCTGCCAGAAGCCTGCTCCCGCCCACTCAAGTCTCAATCCTCCTAGGGGCGGGGGTGGGGGTGGGGGCCGAGGCTATGCTGCCCTCCCTCTCCCTAGCAACTTGGCCTTGACTCTCCCCTTGCCTTCAAACCATCTGGAACTGAGTTATTTCATTTATCAGGAAGTCGTCCTTTCTCTCCACTCCCCCTGTGTGGCCCCAAGTCCCCTTTGCTGTGTAAACAGGACCTTGGCCCATCACTACTATCTGTGCACAGAAGCAGAGATAAGCAGAGCTGAAGAGAAGCCCTGGCCTGTGGCAGGATTGTGGGGGCTCTCCTTCCCCCAGAGGCGCCTCTTCCTCACTGTGGGCACCAAGTTTTCCTGCTGTCTCACTCAGCTGTTCACACCGCCAGAGCCGCCCACAAACACACACGAAAGCTCATCTACACCAATATGCTAACTTCCTGCTATTTGCATTTAAACATGTTTAACTCAAACTGTTCATGGAAAGCTCCGTCTCCCATTTAGTCTTTTAGAATAACTGGCACACAGGGGGCAATATCTGGCAAGGTGCGGGAAAGTTTTTATTTTCCTTGAAGTGGTCCTGTTCCTAATGCATCTCTTGAAAGAAGACCAAGTTTAGTGTTTGTTACAGACTGAATTGTGTCGTTCCTCCTCACAGAAAAAATCCACATGTTGAAGGCCTAACCCTCAATGTGATGGTGTTTGGAGATGGAGCATTTGGGAGGTGATATCATTTGATATTTACCCCTGCCCAAATCTCATGTTGAATTGTAATCCCCAACTCTGGGGGTGGGGCCTAGTGGGAGGTGTTTAGATCATGTGGGCACATCCCTCATGGCTTGGTGCTGTCTTCGTGATAGCAAGTGAGTTCTTGCAAGATCTGGTCATTTAAAAGTGTATGGTGCCTCCCTGCTGACTCTCTCTCTCTTGCTCCTGTTTTTATCATGTGACATGCCTCCTCCCCCTTTGCCTTCTGCCATGATTGTAAGTTTCCTGAGGGCTCCCCAGAAGCCAAGCAGATGCCAGCACTGTGCTTCCTGTACAGCCTGCAGAACGATGAGCCAATTAAACCTGTTCTTTATAAATTACCAAATCTCAGGTATTTCTTTATAGCAATACAAGAATGGCCTAATCCAGGAGGTAATCAGGTCAGGAGGATGGAGCCCTCATGATGGGATTAGGGCCCATATAAGGCAGAGACATGAGCAAGCTCTCTCACTCTCTCAATCTCTGCCATGAGAGGACACAAAAAGGCAGCTGTATGTGAGCTATAAGGAGGACTCTTACCTGGAATCTGACCCTGCTAGCACCCTCATCTTGAACTTCCCAGCCTCCAGAACTGTGACAGACAATTATTTAAGCCAGGGGTCCCAAACCCCTGGGCCACAGAGCAGTACCAGTCCATGCCTGTTAGGAACTGGGTGGCACAGCAGGAGGTGAGCTGTGGGGTACAAGTGAGCATTGCTGCCTGAGCTCTGCCTCCTGTCAGATCAATGGCAGCACTAGAGTCTCATAGAAGCGCAAACCCTACTGTGAACTGCACATATGAGGGATCTAGGTTGCCCACTCCTTATGAGAATCTAATGCTTGATGATCTGTCACTGTCTCCCATCAACCCCAGATGAGACTGTCTAGTTGCAGGAAAACAAGCTCAGAGCTCCCACTGATTCTACATTATAGTGAGTTGTAAAATTATTTCATTACATATTACAATGTAATAATAACAGAAATAAGGTGCACAATAAATGTAATGCACTTGAATCATCCCAAAACCATCCCCTCCCCGACCCCAGTCGGTGGAAAAATGATCTTCCATGAAACCAGTCCCTGGTGCCAGAAAGGTTGGGGACTTCCGGTTTAAGCTACCCAGTCTATGCCATTTTAATACAGCAGCTGGACATGACTGAGGAAGTGTTTCTGGATGTTTCCCAAAAAAGGGCTAAGGAGGACAGGTGAGAGAGATTCCAATCCCCTTTCCTTCCACATTTTTTCTTCTTCTAACAAAGACAACAATAATAACACTATAATATCAATTTCAACTCAATTCAATGTTTAGTATTTGTCTTCTCTACTAGACTATAAACTCCATGAGGGCAGAGGCCACATCTGCAGAGCCACTGCACACAGACACTCAGGCTGAACAACTCCAGCAAGTACCATTCACATCAGCGTCAATATGAAGGCCACCCCCTGGAGTGGTGGAGCCCAGCACTCCTGCATACCTGCCTGGCCTTCTTGCTGATTTACCCGCAGTGTTCAGCACAGAGCCTGGCACATAACAGGTGCCCAGTAAGTCTCCATTGAAAAGCATTTGACAACTCACATTCCACTCACCTAGGGCAGGCATTTAAATTACAGCAGGAAGGCTAATGTGGCATGCTTGTGCACAGTCTGCAGAGTCTGTGACTGGCAATTTAAACTGGATGGCTGTCCACTTGCAGCTTCAGAAAAACATTGAGAGAATGTCTGCATTCACTCTCCTGTAGTCCTCATCACCCAGCACCTGGGACATTGCAGCACTGGGTGGCCTAACTGCAAGCGCTATAGCCCTACTCTTACCCATCCTGACAAAAGGAATTCTCCCTGAAACTCAGTGTTTAGTCTTTCAAACTCCTCAGTGTAGAACCCAAGATGGCTCCCAATGGTGCCCAGGTTCCTCTGCTGGGCTGGGGATGCACCCGGAAAAACTATGTATTGGGGTAAAGTGGAAAATCAAGACTTGGAATTGGTCATGTCTGAGTCCAGCTCCACCTCTTAATAGCTACACAACCCTCAGCAAGTTACTTACCCTCCCTGGGCCTAAATTCTACTACTCACAATATGGGTAATATAATCTCTACTTCAGACCTGAGAAAATTTAATAAGCTAGAACCTCTGGCACACAGACATAAAAGTCTGCAATCAATAGCCATTCCTTTCTCCTTCCCCAAAGTGCAGTACTTGCTGCCACTTTGTGGCATGACCCTCTGCCTGAGCAGGCTGATACCCACCATGTGATGCAACACTCACTATTGCGGTGTCCTTGAGGCTGTCGGGGACCCACTCAAACCTCTGTCCCAGGACAGAAGGCCTCTGGGTCACCAAGGCTGAGCCTCAGGCATCCAGGAGAGCAGGGCAGCTGATGCATGGTGACCCCAGCAATCCACCCAAGGACTGCCCTAAGCACAGAGACCACATCTGGCTTGTTTACTGCTCTCTCCCAAAGCCTAGTACATGCTGGGTCATGCCTGCCACATTGGGTAAATGATGAGTGAATGAGTGAATGAATGAATCCTCCTCTGACCCCCCTGCATATATGAAACAGACAGCCCTACCCCTGAATCTCAACAAAACACTTTACTTATATCCTTCCTCCCACCTGGAATTTTTGTATTCTGTCCTTGTCCTGGCTGATCTTAGCCTAGTCAAGAGCTGGCTGAAAACTTGCTTCTTCCAGGAAGGTTCACAGGTTATCTCTACCAGTAGGGTTTGCTCTCTGGCTTCTCTGAGCTACCTTATCTGTCTTACTTTATTTTTGATGGTCTTTGCCACCTTCCTTATCTCTGCTCACTTAATTAGATTGGAAGTATCTTAAAGACAGGAACTGAGAGCTATGTGCTTGCATGCTACCCAACCATGCACAGTACTGGGAATGTAGAAGCATGTGATAGATACATTGCTTGACTGAACTATCATGTCATCCTCAGCAAACTAATGAAAGCTTCACAGTTGAGAGGTGCTTGGAACGTTCTAACTTTCTCCATGGGAACATGAGGTGAGCCTGAAGTTATCTGGCTACTTCTCCAGAGCCCAGGATTAGGCATCTGAAAATAGATATCCTCCAAGTTCAAATCCTATTGAGTTTTTTCCCATATCCTTAAAAAAAGGTCACTTCAGCTCCTGAGATTTTCATTTCTCCATGTGCAAATTCATGCTACCCTGCAAGGTGCCACAGAACTGACATTCTCCTTCTCTGAACTTTACAAGAAGCTCACTGATTCTCAATGCTGCTGACATCAGACCTATGCCAGGAAAACCAGCTCCTTCTCTGCATGGGTAGAAATGCCCTTCTTGTGCTTAGTGAGAATGCCATCACCACATGCTCCAAAAGAATGCTCTCAAACTCAGGATTGTGAAAGAATCGCTAAGGGGTGGGAAGCTGTGCAATTCTGATTCTAGAGGCTTGGGATGTGATCCAGACATCAGCTCCCCAGTGATCCTGAGAAATTTGAGACTAGCTGATCTAAAGATAGCTCCCCAACCTCTAAAACAAGGGCATGAATGAGAGGGGACTTGTGTTGCTCCTCAGCCACCATGTTTGAATGGCAGAGCTGGACGGCCCAGTTAGCAGACTTTGTTTCATTCAGCTGGTTTTGTTTCTGTGGGAAAACTTCTTTCAGGCAGCTGGCATGGATTACCCTGGCAGCACTAACCTGCAGCAGACTAATCCCACAAAAGTCCTCATCCCTAACAAAATTGCCAAAAGC
This sequence comes from Homo sapiens, assembly GCF_000001405.40. Classification (NCBI taxonomy): domain Eukaryota; kingdom Metazoa; phylum Chordata; class Mammalia; order Primates; family Hominidae; genus Homo; species Homo sapiens. The sequence goes on from NC_000014.9 coordinate 72,781,286, forward strand.
CCTGGTCAAGGCAAATGTATGAAGATCTGACATCCTTAGTCATTCTGTGGGTGGCTCTGACCTTCAAAACATCTCAGGAAGGGCACATTGGGGACAAAGGTATCCCTTGGGAAAGTTATGTCCGACAAACAGCTTGAACCCTAAAACATCCATCATGACTTCGATGTGGCTCAGTCTGATGTTCAGGCCCAGTAGACCCAATAAATCCCTTTTCCAGCATCTACCCTGGTGAAGACTTTTCAGGGACTTATTATGCAAAGCTGCCTAAGCAAGACAGAATTTATATTGAACCTGGCCATGATTTCTGAGCCGCCACTGGGTGTTCTGATGACATACACATCTCGAGGTTGAAGTCAAGGAGCTGCCAAGGACAAGAGACTGGTGGCAGGATAAAAGCAGTGTGATTCCTTCCAGTAAATAATGGTGGGGTGGCGGGGGAGGTGGGAAGGGGACGCTCCGGGGAGGAAGAGGACCGTAGCTTTTCTTGTACCCAAGGTTTGCCTTTCAAATGGCATCCAGACGTGACCAAATAAATCTCTCCTCTGGAGGCTAAAGAATGTGTAGAATGCAACAAAAGTGAGGTGGTGGAGAAGCCTGCTTTATCTAGGGTGAATCATACCTAGAAAGAAAACATGCATCCGTCACAGAAATTTCATTGATTGAGAAAATATTTTTAGTTTCCTGGTCCACAGACTGAGTCCTTCCTGAAACTCTCACTATGAGCTGGGCACTCGGATGTTGCCTCCTGAGTGTGATCGCCTATAGAAGCAGACTATTGATTAGAGAAAATTCTTAGACAAACAGATCCCCAGCCCTCATCTTTGCCACTGGAATGCAAAGGGTGCTGCCCTCCCCAGTAAAGGGAATATCGGTCTGGTATTTAACACGGCCACAAAGAACATGTTGTTCTATAGTCAATTCTCTATACAGCAGCCCAAGTGATTTTTTTTTTTTTTTTTGAAACAAGGTTTTGCTCTGTTGCCCAGGCTGGATTGCAGTGGTGCAGTGGAGGAGTGTAGCCTCCACCTCCCAGATTCAAGCAATCCTCCCACCTCAGCCTCCAGAGTAGCTGGGACTACAGACACACGCCACCACACTTGGCTAATTTTTGTATTTTTTTATAGAGGCAGGGTTTTGCCATGTTGCCCAGCCTGGTCTGGAACTCCGGGGCTCAAGCAGTCAGCCCGTCTCAGTCTCCCAAAGACCTGGGATTACAGGTGTGATCCACTATAACCAGCCCCAGTGATCTTTTAAAAACAGAAATCAGGGCTGGGCACGGTGGCCCACGCCTGTAATCCCAGCACTTTGGGAGGCTGAGGTGGGTGGGTCACGAGGTCAGGAGTTCGAGATCAGCCTGGCCAACACAGTGAAATCCCGTCTCTACTAAAAATACAAAAATTAGCCAGGTGTAATGGCGGACACCTGCAGTCCCAGCTACATGGGAGGCTGAGGCGGGAGAATCACTTGAACCTGGAAGACAGAGGTTGCAGTGAGCCGAGATTGCACCACTGCACTCCAGCCTGGGCGACAGAGCGAGACTCCATCTCAAAGAAAAAAAAAAAGTGGAAATCAGGCCATGGCATTCTCTCCTACTAACACCTCCAATGTCTTCTCACTGCACTCAGAGCAAAATCCAAACTCCTTCCCATGGCTACAGGTCCCCAGGCTGGCTGGGCTCACCTTTCCTGCTTCATCCTGTCCCCTGCCTCCTTCCCCGCTGGGCTCCATCCTCACTGCACTCCTTTCTGTTCCTCTTCTATACTAAGGGTATCTCACCTCAGGACCTTTGCATATGCCATCTCCTCTACCTGGCATGACATGCTTCTCCCAGATCTTCTTGTAGCTGACTGCTCCTCTGAGATGTCTTCTTAGGTTCACCCTATCTGGAAGTAGCCCACCCCACCCCAACCCTGCCCTACCCTTTGCTATCTCATATACTTTATTTTTTTCATAACACCACTATCAAAGTTTTTCTCTTTGCCTACTGATCATCTATACACAACTAAATTGCAAGTGCCACGAGAGCAGCGTCCTTGTCTCATCAGATTCCCAGCCCCCAACGCAAGACTTGGCACATAGGAAATGCTCGACACATATCACTCAACAAAAAAATGAAAGCTCTAGGCCCACCTGCAACTGACAGCTTGAATGATACCGAATCCTGGCCTTGTAGAAGGCTGGAAGTCAGTGCTGGCAGGAGACCCCCAGCACAGGGAATAAGAATCACACAGCTGCCACCACCTGATTCCTGGCCCTTTCTGCCCAACACAACATAAATGACAGCAGGTCAGTGGCACAGTCCACAGTCCACACTCAAATCTTGATCATGGCCACCCACATACCCCAAACCTGGAGAGAGACTGGGGTGAGGTAGATAAACGATGCCATTCAAGACATCAGACATTGCTTTCTATGCCCAAAAGGCACATTCCAGGCCTGATATTGGCACCGGAAACTAGCAGTGCCAGAAGATGGTCTCCAACATACCCATCCCATGTCCCTCAAAGGGCCTCTCTCTGGACTAACCTCTTCTGCATGGTCTTTCCTGCAGAGCTGATCCGTGTCCTCCTGCAGAGCCCTGGGCCCACGGGTGGTGCCAGGGGCAGCGGCAGGATGGGGGTGGGGCTGCTTGACAGGAAATCAATGGGAACTGAAGGTCATCCGGAGGGCGCAGTCTCCCCATCACGCACCTGCTGGCATGGGATTTGTGGTCCTGACCTCGCTTGGGGGCCTCTGCCCTCCTGTCAGAGTTGGTTAAAATCAGCCTGCAGAAGCAAATGTCCTGCACACCAAATGATCTCCAGGCAGCCCTTCTAAGGGACATCCAGCCAAACAAAGAAGCACTGAGTCTCATTTCACCCGCCGCAAAGTTGAGAGTCACCCCAATCTCTCTTGGCAGCCTCCTAGGAAAACTGTCTCAGACCTGCCATTTTTGGAGGCACATACTTGTAAATAGAACAAAGCCAGACTGACCAAGAGGCTGGTTATGTCCCCAAACTTAAGTTGCCTGGTGGTGGAGGAAGTAAAAATACACTGGGAACCAAGATGACTGAAACTGAAATCTTGAGTGCACCCTAGAAATGCCTAAATCTGCCCTCAACACCTCTACATGCCAGGATAACGACAAAGGATACCAAAACCTCTGTACTGCCGGAGGGAAATCTCATTTTCTTCTCATCCCAAAAAATACTGGGGAGCTTGGCTGAATCTAGAATCTGATTTTCCTTCCCCCACTATACTTATTTTCCCAGGTTCCCATTCTCCCTTGCTTCCCAGACCTTTCCCCTCTACCATCTTCTTTCCCAATTCGTCCACCTCATCAAGAGTCATTTATCATACAGGCCAGGAGCAAAGCGGTCAGCCTAAGTCTCCAATTCAAAAGTTGAAAATGGGCCAGGCACAGGGGCTCACGCCTGTAATCCTAACACTTTGGGAGGCCAAGGTGGGAAGACTGCTTGAGACCAGGAGTTCAAGCACCCTGGCCAACTTGGTGAAAAACCGTCTCTACTAAAACTACAAAAATTAGCCAGGCTTGGTAGCAGGTGCCTGTAGTTCCAGCTACTTAGGAGGCTGAGGCAGGAGAATGGCTTGAACCCAGAAGGCGGAGGTTGCAGTGAGCTGAGATCGCACCATTACACTCCAGCCTGGGCAACAAGAGCAAAACACCGCCTCAAAAAAAAAAAAGTTGAAAATGAATATGGTATGAAAATAAAGAAAAGGCCAGGCACAGCAGCTCATGCCTGGAATCCCAGCACTTTGGGAGGCCAAGGCAGGAGAATCACTTGAGGCCAGGAGTTGAATACCAGCCTGGGCAACATAGTGAGATCCCCGTCTCTACAAAAAAATAAAAAATAAAAAAATGTTTTAATGAAGAAGAGACACCCTGGACATATTTACAGAAGGATAACAGGATGCTGGTTATAGTAGCAATAGTGGCATAGCTAATATTTATTGAGCATTTACTATGTGTGCCAGGCACTGTTCTAAGCACTTTACATGTATTATCCCCATACAACTTGTAATTGTATTATTCCCATACAACTCCATGATTTTATACCCACCCCCTCACACACCCCACTTTACAGATTGGCAAACTGAGGCACAGAGAGTCTTACGTGATTTGCTAAGGATCTATGTGGCCTTGTTAATACATTACAGTCTTGCCAGAACCTTACTCTTGGCCACTGCACTGTCAGCCTCTTACAAGGGCGCCATTACCCCCTCACAATGAGTTTTGCCTCCAGAACTAGAATAACCTGAACACTTCCTTTCTTGGAGGCACTAGAACACTTCCTTTCTTGGAGGTTTCTATCAGCATCACCAACTTGCTAGCTAATCTTAGCTATTTCTTTTCTTTGTGCCTCAGTATCCCAAACTGCCAAATAGCCCAGAAATAAACCTTCTTATCACAGAGCCACCTCTCAGTAACTCAAAAAAAGTTAATATGGGGCTTCCTGAAAATATGCCATCAGAGAAATACAAAATGTCATTATGCAGTTTAGAAACCAAATCCATCCCAAATGTGAGCAAGGGGCGATGGACTTGAAGAGGCCCTGTGGTTCTGAACATCAACTAAGGCAGAAAAAGAGAAATGCCAGAAAGTCATAAACTAAAGGGTCAGATTAAAGAATCCCAGAATGTTAGACACTGTCTAGTCTGGTGCCTGGTTTTATTGCAAAGGAAATCAATAACCAGGCCAGGTGCAGTGGCTCACGCCTGTAATGCCAACATTTTGGGAAGCCGAGGCGGGTGGATCACCTGAGGTCAGGAGTTCGAGACTAGCCTGGCCAACTTGGTGAAACTCCATTTCTACTAAAAATACAAAAAATTAGCCAGGCATGGTGGTGCATGCCTGTAGTCCCAGCTACTCAGGAGGCTGAGGCAGGAGAATCGCTTAAACCCGGGAAGCGGAGGTTGCAGTGAGCCGAGATTGTGCCATTGCACTCCAACCTGGGCAACAGAGCGAGACTCCACCTAAAAAAAAAAAAGAAAAAGAAAATCAATAACCACAGAGGTGAGGTGACGTCCTCGGGACATACCGAGGCAGAGCTGGGATCAGATCCTCAGTCCAGACTCCTAGTTCAGGGATTCCTCCATCGTTTATGGCAAGGGTCAACAAACTACAGCCCCTCGGCCAAACATAGCCCAGGACTAATTTTTGTAAATAAAGTTTTATGGGAGGCAAGCCATGCCCATCCGTTTACATATTGTCTGTGGCAGCTTTTGTGCTGAAATGACAGAGTCGAGTAGTTCCAACAGAGACCATGTGGCCTGCAAAGCCTAAAATATTTACCATCTGGACCTTTACAGAAAAAGTTTGCCGACTCCTGGTTTTTAACATAAGCCTTGAATAATGAAAAGCCTCCACCCTCAGAATACAAAATAATAGAATAGGAAACCTAAGAGTCACACAGCTTAAGCAGATAGTTTTACAATTATCTCAGCTTGGTACAACCTAATAAAAACCCATAAATACAGTTAATAATAAGGAAAACAAGCACTAGCTCACCCTACCTATTTAATAATTATTGTTAACTACAGCAAGCAAAACTCATAGCTGAAAATTCGTTTGTTTGCTTTTTTCTAGCCTCCCTTGAAAGCCCTGTTTCATCTAGGAAATGCTGTTGGCCAATGGGCGAAAGGACACATCCTAGAGGCGCACAGCCCTAATTTCCTCCTGTTGAGTTGCAGGCTGCTGCTGAGGCAGCTGAAGACTTGAGAGCATTGCCCTCTCTCCAGAGCGGACTCAGAGAGAGTTGATTTTCTCTGTCAAAGGCGATGGCGCCAAAACCCTCCTGTGCCCCTCACTCCAGATAGAACCCTCAGGAACAGCCAGGCATGGAAGAGACTGTCTTTATGGCTTCCTCTCCCTACTGGGCCTCCATGCCCTGCTTACACCCCTTTCCTCCCCAGAAAGTGATCAGGATATGCACACGGCCCACAGAAGCCCAGCCCACAGCTATGCCATCATTCTATCATCCCATGGAATAGGGAAAAGCGGGTCTGCCCCTGTTAGGCTGATGTGGGAATCAAGAGACCTGGATTCCAGATTGGAGTTGGAACTTAGTCACTTTGGGTTTTTGGCAAATCTCTCAAGCCCTCTGGGCCCAGGTCTCCCACGTCAAATGGAGAGATCGTCTTCACATATTCCAAATGATGGAACACGGGCAGAGCCAAATTAAGGGGTGGGGCAGGCCAACCACGTGGCACCCGGGCTCCAGTCTCTAATCACACTAAGTCATTACCAGGAACATAGAAAGGTTTACTAGTGTCACTCAGGCAGAGAACTTTGAGAAATAGGACCTGGCTTTCATGGAATAGTCCAGTTCGCATCAAGGTCCCACTGTAATGATTATTACACTTTTCCCTCTCAAAAGCGCCCTTGCTTGGCTGATAAATGATAAAGTCACCCTACTAATAAGCTGTTTGTGGTGGGAGTGAGGTGAGACACGTGGCCCAAGGCACGGACAGTAATGGCAATACATGGGCTTCTAAGGAAGACAAGTTCAGTTTGGTCAAGAGGTGGGGTGCAGGTCCGGGGCCAGAACTGAGCTGCTAAGGACAAGAGAGGAGAGGCTGCCTCTGGTGGCCCGGCTTCTCCATTTGCCATGCACACAGCCTTTGCCTCTTCTTTTATTTGTCAAATATTTAGAGAATATTCGCCAAAGTGTGAGCTCCCCAGGAGGCCCACAGGTGCTGGAGAGAAGAGAGGGCTTTGGAGAGTACTGTAAGGTGAAAGAAACCTACCAACAGGTGCCTAACTGCCTGGCCATGCTAAGCGCCTGAGCCCTGGGACAGGGTATGATCCCAGCCCTTCACAGTGCCTGACCCTGACGGGCATGCACTTGGTAAGTGTTCATTCTGGGGACCTGGAACAAGCGAAGCTCAAGCCCTCCTTCTGTTCTTGGAAAACTCCTCCTCCCCATGGCAGCTGCATCTCGACCACCAATCCTACTGGACCACAGGATGCAGGAGGACTACACTGTGTCCTGGATCTCGTCATTACAAGAGCAGGAGGTGAGCACTGAGAAAGATCCAGAAGAACTCATGCAAGCAGAGGCTGTGGTCTGTGGGGAGGAGGGCCGGGCAGGGCAGCGGACCAGAGGAAGAAGCAACAAAGAAGGAAGGGGAAGAGGAGGAGGAGGAGGAGGGGGGCCGCAGAGTCACTGTGGGTGGAGGGAGAGCACCGCCAGCACATGCCCCACAGCCATCAATATCTCTTCGGAGGACAGATTATCTGGGGAATTTATGCTCTCTAATAATTACCTTGCAGAGGGTTCCACTTATCTTACCAGAGGAATCTGCCAGTTGCCAGACACACAGGATTCTAGTCAATTCCATCCACACTGCCCTCCCCCTCTGCCCTCCTCCCCACCTCCCTGGCTCCTGACTTCTGACCTCTGAATTCTAACCTTTCTTTGCCTCTCCAGTCTAGGGGGAGGTTGATGGTGGAAGGGTCACAACAACTTTTAACAGATGTAAAGGCCAACAAAGGGGTTGGTGGGTTGTCCCTTATCAGTAGATATGAGAGTTAACGTCCCAAAGTTGAGGCCAGGCCTGAGGAAGTATAGGCTCTTGCCAAAGACAGTGTGTGAAGGGCCAAGCAATGCTTTGGGGCAGACTGACATGATTATTTTTGTCTTCACCTGATGCCATCAGACCTGGTTAGGATTAATTTTATCTTCTAGTCTTCACATCCCTCCTCAAAGCCTTCCTATCCCCAGTCCAGCCCTCCAGTGAGGCCTCCCTCCAATAATGGTGTGGCTACTTATTCGAAAACCATCACGTGTTGCTTTGGGTTGCTGTGGTTTCTTTAAACGCACGTTGCAGTCCTGGCTGTGAGCTCCTGGAGAACATGGGTACTGCATCCGTACTGAATCAGGACTACCTGAGCAACAGTAACAACATCCAGATGGCCCTGACAGTGGGCGGGACAGTGCCCTCCCTGCTTAGAAACAGGAACCACATTTCATCTCCACAACAACCCTATGAAAGAGATGCTACTACTACCCCTCATTATACAGCTGAGGACCTGGGAGCTCAGACAGCTTCAGTCACAGGCCCACGGTCACTTGGTCAGTGGCCAAGTCAGGATTTGAACCAGGTGGTCTTGTTTCAGAGTCTGGGCTCTTAACCACTCCACACCACGCTGCCTCTGTAGGAGAGGTTTGCTGACTGATTCGGACATTTTGTGTTGTATCTATCCGCTTATTTAAGTCATCCTTTTCTAAAATAATAATTTTTTTTGAGACATGGTCTCGCTCTGTCACTCAGGCTGTGCAGGAGCTCTGTCACTCAGGAGTGCAGTGGCATGGCTCACTGCAGCCTCGATCTTCAGAGCTCAAGCAATTCACCTACTTAGCTACCCCAGTAGCTAGGACTACAGGCATGTGCCACCATTCCCAGCTAATTTTTTTTTCTTTTTTTAAGAGAGATCGTGTCTCACTTTGTTGCCCAGGCTGGTCTCAAACTCCTGGACTCAAGTGATCCACCTGCCTCAGCTTCCCAAAGTGCTGCTGGGATTACAGGCATGAGCCTGGGTGCACCTGGGCTGGTGCTCCTCCTCCTTAGGACTCCACTCACTGCTCCCTCCTCAGGGGGCCTCCCCCAAACTCCTTAGCTCTGGCACTCATTCTTTTTCCATCACTCTGGCACGATGCCAACTATCAAAAATTATTTTATAGGCTAGGTGTGGGTGGCTCATGCCTGTAATCCCAGCACTTTGGGAGGCCAAGGCAGGCAGATTGCTTGAGCCCAGGAGTTCAAGACCAGCCTGGGCAACATAGTGAGACCTCTTCCCTACTTAAAATTAATTAATTGGCCAGGCACAATGGCTCATGCCTGTAATCCTAGCACTTTGGGAGGCCGAGATGGGAGGACTGCTTGAGACCAGGAACTCGAGACCAGCCTGGTCAACAAAGCGAGACCCCATCTCTTAAAAAATAATAATAAATAAAAAATAATTAATTAATGTATATGTTTATTTACTACCTGCTTTTCTCAATAGATATAAAAGCTTCCTGGGAGAAAGACTGGTCTAATTTGTTCACCCCTCTATCACCAGTGCCTAAAGCTGGTCCCTAGCATATAGTAGGCACTATATAAATATGAGTTGGATGAATGAATTGTCTGATGTCCCCACTGAGCATTCCATAATACATGATGGCTACTTAATTGGACACTTTATTTTATGCAAACTCATCTATCTGTTCTTTATTTATTAGACTTTACAGTGTACCAGGCACCTTGCTGAGTAGGTTAGGATTTCACTGTACCCTGATATGAGGTAGAGAATATTGTCTTTATCATTCTCATGTTACAGATGAGGAAACTGAGACTCAGAGGTTACACAGCTTGCCCAAGACCATACAGAAATAGGGTAAGACTTAACCCCCATTCTGTCAGTCCCCCTGAGTCCATGATATTAAGCATTCTGCCTCATTGCCTCTGGCTGGGTCCCCTCAGTAACATGATTCTCTTTACCCCTGAACCTCTAAAATGTCCCCAGCCTTACTTCTCCCCCCTCAAGAGCCCCATCGCCTCTTTCTCTGGCCTCTGTGTGCTGGCTCTCCTCCATTGGTCCCTCCAGATTCTCTCTCTGCCATTCTTTTCCCTGCTGGGTGCTGCGGAAGTCTGTCCTGTATGGTCAGCCATTTGCCCTCTTCCCTCTGCTCCTGGTGGTCTGGGTCAATGGCAGGTGCCGAGAGAGGGAAGAGAGACAGGGGATTTCCTCTCCCCGCCCCTTCCTGCTGTGGAGTGTCTGCATCTGCCCACTGAAGGTCACAGCTCCTGTGGGCCAGCCCTCTTCATACAGCTACCTCTGCAATCTGGTGACCTTCCCCACTCCCCCGACCTAGCCCTAGGCTGCTGCACTAGCCCCCCACCATGTGAGTCCCTGCCCGCAGTTTTGAAACTAGACATGTTACTAAACACTCCTCAGTTTACTTCGTGTGGAGCTGCTGCTTTGCTGGAACCCTGCCTCTCGGACATATGAGTGCTACATGGCCTCTGCCCCTCCCCCAGGTCCCCCACCACTGCCGCTGCCCCCTGGTCACTGCAGCTGCCTCACCAGGCCCTTCTTTGCTGCCAGGGTTTGTTCTCTGTCTCCAAGACCTATAAATAAATGTTGATTTGCTGGCTTGAAGGTTTGCCCTGGCAGCCCCACCAGGGAGAGCAGTGCCCTGGGGAGCCCAGCAAGCCCACAGCAAGCTGTCCTCCCAAGACTAGGAGAAAGCAGAGAGCATCGGGTCCAATGCAGGGGTCCCCTATGCTCGGAGCTTCCCCCTGTGCGGGGTGTTAAGGGACCCCTCAGATGATGTCCTGGTGCCTCAAACAAAGCCGCCATCACAGCTTCAAAATCACAATATCATTTGTTGAGCAACTACTATGTGGCAGGTTCTGGGTTGCCATTTGCATACATTCACTTTCATGTTAAAAGACGAGAAAAACAAGTTCACAGAGGTTAAGGAATTTAACCAAAACCTCAAAACTACTAAGTGGATGAACTGGAATTAGATCCCAGGTCAGCCCAAATCTATAAGGCCTTAATTCCCCACCAGTACATGCTGCCTCATGACCGATCCCTTTGAATGACAGGAGGCCCACAGACTCGAACCTAGTCCAGGCAGGCAGCTCAGAGATGCCAGCCACCCATGGCTGGGAGGAGATCAGGTGGAGCAGGATGACAGTTAGGATAAAGGGCACAGAGGGCTCCATGCTGCCTAGAGTCACTTTGTCCAAGGACCATGGCACAGTTTGGCCATAGTGACTGCTGAGCAGCCAGGGGGCTGGAACATGCCCCCCACCCCCGCCCCCAACCCCGACCCACTGCTCCTTCCTGCAGAGCCAGCCAGGAGCCATCACTCGTCCTTGGGCACACACCAGCATTTCAAGAAAACAAGCCTGCAAGCACAGACCCCTCTGAGTCAGGCCCAGGACTGTCACGAGGAGACTCTGAAGGGGAGGGGAGGGACAGGGTGACACAAAGAGGGGGAAGGCCTCCTGCCGCTGGACCTGGAGCCGACTGTGCTTCCCTAAGTCCTTTCTGCAGCCAAAAGGCACATTCCCTGAGAACACCGCTCAAGATCCAAAGGCTTTCGCTTTTTATTTTTTAGGAAGCAATGGCAAAAAAAGAAAAGAAAAAAAGAAAGAAAAGAAAAGAAAAAGAAATCCACATTTCTAGTGTTGGGAGCGATTCTTGGAGGCAAACACACTCTCTTGCACACACACACCCCACAGCGCTTCCCCCACACAGCCCAAAATAGTCCACACCATGGACTCCTGGAGAACCCGGCTCAGCACAGCCTCCCGACCTTGGTCCACATGACTGCTGGCCAGCTCTCAGTCCCCAGGGTAACAAAGTACTCCAAGGACCCGCAGTAGCAGCGCCTGCTCCTACAGACCATTTCACCCCTCCCAGCGAAGTCCCATCTGCTGTGTCTCGATGGAGCCAGGTCCAGTTAGCAGAGGCCACTTCCAATGACCCAGTGTGGCCCAAATCTCCAGAGCTGACCTGAACCTCTCTCCCTCAACCCCTCCAAATCTTAGATTGCTGCTGCTGCTTCTCCAGGGGAATGGCTCCCACAACATTTTATAGACTGCAAGGAAAATATCCAGAACTGAGACCGTTCTTCAAAATAATAATTTAAAAAAAAAAAACACTGCTGAAACACAGAACTGGGTGTTATCTTAAAATCTCTGCACAAATAGAATTTGAATGCTCTCACTCCAATCAAAATCATTCTCCGTCCCTCCCTTTAAACACTGAAAGTTCAATTCCCCCTAAAGACAGGATTGCAAACATGATTAGGTCCAATTAATTTATGGAGAAACTCAGAATGAAAGGAGAGAAATCAATAGAACTGCCTTGTTCTGATCACTACCGCAAATGAAGTAATAATTTGAAGGAGATCTGGAAAGAAAGGAAACCAAAAGTGTCACACCGCAGCCATTGGCCATTTAACAAGGCAGCATTGCCCCATGTGGACTGGCTGGGTGGAGAAGACCACTCAAGCTTACAAGACACTCCTGGGGACAGAGGGAGGGGAGAGACAGCTGAGGTCACTTGCTTTCTCTTCATTGTACAGCATGAGGCTCACTGGTGGTAAATTCTCCTCTTTCTCACAAAAGCAAGACGTAAAAGAAAGTAAAAGGCAAAAAGCATCCACACAAGCTGCCAGTCTAATAAGGACACTGGTAATCTCCAGGCAGGCCAAGGCCATATGGGCTCCCCCTGCAGCTTCATGC